>NC_000002.12:56250958-56553988 GCF_000001405.40 Homo sapiens | reverse complement strand
AGCAGCACATTGAAAAGCTTATCCACCATAATCAAGTAGGCTTCATCCCTGGGATGCAAGGCTGGTTCAATATACGCAAATCAATAAATGTAATCCAGCATATAAACAGAACCAAAGACAAAAACCACATGATTATCTCAATAGATGCAGAAAAGGCCTTTGACAAAATTCAACAACCCTTCATGCTAAAAACTCTCAATAAATTAGGGATTGATGGGACGTATCTCAAAATAATAAGAGCTATTTATGACAAACCCACAGCCAATATCATACTGAATGGGCAAAAACTGGAAGCATTCCCTTTGAAAACTGGCACAAGACAGGGATGCCCTCTCTCACCACTTCTATTTAACGTAGTGTTGGAAGTTCTGGCCAGGGCAATTAGGCAGGAGAAGGAAATAAAGGGTATTCAATTAGGAAAAGAGGAAGTCAAATTGTCCCTGTTTGCAGACTACATGATTGTATATCTAGAAAACCCCATTGTCTCAGCCCAAAATCTCCTTAAGCTGATAAGCAACTTCAGCAAAGTCTCAGGATACAAAATCAATGTACAAAAATCACAAGCATTCCTATACACCAATAACAGACAAACAGAGAGCCAAATCATGAGTGAACTCCCATTCACAATTGCTTCAAAGAGAATAAAATACTTAGGAATCCAACTTACAAGGGATGTGAAGGACTTCTTCAAGGAGAACTACAAACCACTGCGCAATGAAATAGAAGAGGATACAAACAAATGGAAGAACATTCCATGCTCATGGGTAGGAAGAATCAGTATCGTGAAAATGGCCATACTGCCCAAGGTAATTCATAGATTCAATGCCATCCCCATCAAGTTACCAATGACTTTCTTCACAGAACTGGAAAAAACTGCTTTAAAGTTCATATGGCACCAAAAAAGAGCCTGCATCACCAAGTCAATCCTAAGCCAAAAGAACAAAGCTGAAGATATCACACTACCTGACTTCAAACTATACTACAAGGCTACAGTAACCAAAACAGCATGGTACTGGTACCAAAACAGAAATATAGATCAATGGAACAGAACAGAGCCCTCAGAAATAATGCTGCATATCTACAACTATCTGATCTTTGACAAACCTGAGAAAAGCAAGAAATGGGGAAAGGATTCCCTATTTAATAAATGGTGCTGGGAAAACTGGCTAGTCATATGTAGAAAGCTGAAACTGGATCGCTTCCTTACACCTTATACAAAAATTAATTCAAGATGGCTTAAAGACTTAGACATTAGACCTAAAACCATAAAAACCCTAGAAGAAAACATACGCATTACCATTCAGGACATAGGCATGGGCAAGGACTTCATGTCTAAAACACCAAAAGGAATGGCAATGAAAGCCAAAATTGACAAATGGGATCTAATTAAACTAAAGAGCTTCTGCACAGCAAAAGAAACTACCATCAGAGTGAACAGGCAACCTACAAAATGGGAGAAAATTTTCGCAACCTAATCATCTGACAAAGGGCTAATATCCAGAATCTACAATAAACTCAAAGAAATTTACAAGAAAAAAACAAACAACCCCATCAAAAAGTGGGTGAAGGACATGAACAGACACTTTTCAAAAGAAGACATTTATGCAGCCAAAAAACACATGAAAAAATGCTCATCATCACTGGCCATCAGAGAAATGCAAATCAAAACCACAATGAGATACCATCTCACACCAGTTAGAATGGCGATCATTAAAAAGTCAGGAAACAACAGGTGCTGGAGAGGATGTGGAGAAATAGGAACACTTTTACACTGTTGGTGGGACTGTAAACTAGTTCAACCATTGTGGAAGTCAGTGTGGCCATTCCTCAGGGATCTAGAACTAGAAATACCATTTGACCCAGCCATCCCATTACTGGGTATATACCCAAAGGACTATAAATCATGCTGCTATAAAGACACATGCACATGTATGTTTATTGTGGCACTATTCACAATAGCAAAGACTTGGAACCAATCCAAATGTCCAACAATGATAGACAGGATTAAGAAAATGTGGCACATATACACCATGGAATACTATGCAGCCATAAAAAATGATGAGTTCATGTCCTTTGTAGGGACACGGATGAAATTGGAAATCATCATTCTCAGTAAACTATCACAAGGACAAAAAACCACACACCGCATGTTCTCACTCATGAGTGGGAATTGAACAATGAGAACACATGGACACAGGAAGGGGAACATCACACTCTGGGAACTGTTGTGGGGTTGGGGGAGTGGGGAGGGATAGCATTATGAGATATACCTAATGCTAAATGAAGAGTTAATGGGTGCAGCACACCAGCATGGCACATGTATACATATGTAACTAACCTGCACATTGTGCACATGTACCCTAAAACTTAAAGTATAATAATAATAAAAAATAAAAATAAAAATAAAAAAAAGAATCACACTATTACCACAATCACTAAGCAGCCTAGTATTGAATAAAATATTATATTAAAACAAAACAAAAAAAAACCTTCAGTTTTTAATTACTTGGTTTTACATTTAGGATTTTTCTAGTGCTTATTAAAATATTTTATTATTCTATTATAAGCATTATGAGAATACAATTTATGCTGTTGAAATGCATTGGTGATCTATTATAGAATTGCCTGCTACTAAGCCCCAGTTTTATAGGATCATACTAAAACATACAAAAACATACACAGAGAACATATTTATTGATAACATTGAAATTCTATATTCACCCTCTCTCTTACATCTTCATCTTATTCTACCTCTAACTAACAGGACTTGGTAATTAAGAGGGAAAGGAATGATTAGAAAACAGAAATCTTTTCAGAGCATCTGTTTTCCCCATATTGTTTCTGATTTTTGATCAATACTCTTTCAGTATCCTCTTTCCTATTTTCTTACAAGAATTTCACACTGCCATCAAAGCTCAAAGACATCAGCAACAACCTAGGATTTTTTTTACTTTAAAGAATAGTAAAAACTCCCTTAGATCAATGAGTCAAATGCTTGGAGACATGTGGCTTTATCTCTACCCTCCTCCCCACCCATCATTCCCACTCACCCTAATATAAGTGCATCTAGTTTGAAATCTGGGATCCAAAGACTTTATCAAAGCACCTAAGGCAGTAAGCAATTTGTCTATACGGTGATATATATCAATGTGTTAAAGTAGTAACTAGAAATAATAGAAACCTTGGCATTATTGGGGCTTTGTCTAAAACTCACAGGGACCATCAATGGAAAACTACAAAATTAATTAAATCAATTACTCATTTCCTCTTCTAGGACAACAAATGATTGATTTGACCTTTGGTTTACTAAATTGGCTGAATCTGTGTTTTCATGATGTTGAAATATCAACTCATCAAAAAAAATTAAATTGGTTAATAGTATACAGTTAAAACTTTCAGTCAAAATTTAGGGCTAAAGTAACTAAATGAGCCATGTACTCTGTGCTCTTTTTGTTTGTTTGTCCTTATAGGGCTCACTGTTTGAGAGGTCTCAGGCAGTTTGCAGTTGTCAGTTGGAGTACAGTTCCAAGAACCTGGAACACTTCAAAACAATATTCAGTTCTCTATTTGGCCACATTTGAGTCATAACTTCAAAAAAAACAAAATTCATATCAGAGGTTTTTTTGTTATTTATTTTCTTTTCTTACATGCTATAGCCCTCTGTATTTAGCATTCTTTGCAATAGATTTAAATCTATCTCAGGTTTATATACATTCTTCTACACATAAGTATATACCTAATATGTTTAATTCATTAAAAGAAAACTCACACACCAAAGAAAATTATCTTACGCTATTCCAGATATTAAAAAAAAAAGAAGAGTAAACTGCATTCTGGATCATTATGACTAACTAACATTAGTTGAGCTTGTTACACTCAGCTCATTTAATCATCAAAGCAACACCAGGAGGTGGGTTTATTTGTTATCTCCATTTCACAGTAAGGAATCCAACGCACAGATAAATTAGGTGGCTTGTTTGTATAGTCCACTAGAGCTGCTATAACAAAATGCCACAGACTACATGGCATAAACAACAGAAATTTATTTTTTCACAGTTCTGGAGGCTAGAAGTCCAAGATAAAATTTCTGGCCAATTCTGTGTCTGGTAAAGTATCCCTGCCTTGCTTACAGAGAGCTGCCAGCTTGCTGAGTCTTCACATGGCCTTTCCTCTGTGGTGTGTGGAGAGAAAGAGAGAGAGCAAGCAAGCTCTCTGGGTCTCTTCTTACAGACACACTAATCCTATCAGACCAGGGCCCCTCACTTGTGACTGTATTTAACCTTAATGACTTCCTTAAAGACCCCATCTTCAAGTACAGCCACACTGGGGGGTAGGGCTTCAACATGAATTTGGGGGCAGGGGAACACAAAGATTCGTTTATAACACTCCTTAAGGTTACACAGTTAATAAGTTGTAGACTATGATTGAAACCCCAGCAGTCAGACACCACAGCCTGAGCTATTAACCATATTTGATATGGTTTGGCTGTGTCCCCACCCATATCTCATCCTTCATTGTAGCTCCTATAATCCCCAAGTGTCCTGGAAGGGACCCCATGGGAGGTAATTGAATCATGGGAGCTGTTTTTGTTTTGTTTTGTTTTTTACTGTGCTTTTCTCATGATAGTGAATAAGTCTCATGAGAGCTGATGGTTTTATAAAAGGGCAGTTCCCCTGCAATGCTTTCTTTCTTGCTGCCATGTAAGATGTGACTTTGCTCCTCCTTTGCCTTCCACCATGATTATGGGACCTCCCCAGCCATGTGAAACTGTGAGTGCATCAAACCTCTTTTTCTCTGTAAATTACCCAGTCTTGGGTATGTCTTTATTAGCAGCAAGAGAACAGACTAATATAATATTTATCCAACTTTTATTGAGCTCCTTACAGCCAAGCCTTCACCAGATGTTAAATAGATTAAGAGTCATTCATCAATATCATAAAAGTATAAGTGCAAACACATCTTGTTATGTTTCTCTCTTTACAGTTTTATTATCCTAAATAATAAACTATTCCTATGACTATTTTCCTTAATTTCCAAACTTTCGCATTTTTTTCATAAATATTTAAAGTTGTCAAAAGAGTTTCAATCAAGATTTAATCCAGCATCTAAAATATGTTATATCCCGTTGGCAACATACTACTGAATGGTGCCATAGGTTATGCCTGACTGGATACTTCATTTTTCACTGTGGTGAACATTGCACCATAGTTTTTCAAATCCCTTTTAATTGTCATTAACAACTGCATTTCTGTTCACAGAGCATTTGATTGCCTTTATTTCTGCCAGTTCTCAAAGTTTTAAAATAAAAGGCTATTTCTCCAAGTAACATATATGTCAATTCTCTCATTAGCAAAAATCATTTAAGAACACAGGAATAAGTTTATTTTCCATACCATTATAGAAAAAGCCTATGAGCCAATCACCATTATTGTATGGTTAAACCAAATTGCCCTTCGTGCTTCATAAATACTATTGGCAATCTTCATTTCCTTTGGTGATTCTGACCTGCCTACTTTTCAGTCATGTTCTCTAATTGGCATTGACATTAATGCTACAAAAAGTACTAGCTCATGTAAAACAGCTGAAATCCTAACATAATTTTGAGACTATTTTATTATAACCTGAAAAACAAGCATATGGTACTAGAGGAAGCAATAGAATTGTATTTCAGCACGAATAATAATGGGTAAACATAATATTTCCTGATGGACATTATTTTGAAATGTAAATTATAAAAATTATTAAGTCTTCTCTCATGGAAATATTAAAAGCTTCCATTTTCCTTAGTACATAGCCATATTCATAGTGTGAATTGTGGGTGTCAAAAGTACTATTTAAAAATGTTTCCCCCAAACTGGCTGATTCATAGCCAGTATACAGATCCCACCATTATTTGTATTTAAACATCTTTTCAAGACAGACATGGGGTAAAGGGGTTAAATTATCACTACAGCCATCCTAGTCTAGTCCCACCTGATCTAGGTCAGCATTACCTCTAACTTCTCAACTCCCTACTTGCTCAACCAATATCTTTTCTTCAGAGCAGCCAGAGTGATCATTTAAAAGCATAAATCACCTGCTCAAAATCCACTTCCTATGACACTGATAATATGTTCAATGCCTTACCATGGCATGAATGATCTGACAGTAATGATCTGACGGTCTCTAACTCTTCAAACTGCTTTCCTTTAGCTCCTCTTCTCTCTTGTTCTCTTTATCCACATTGAACTCTTGCTTTCTCCACAAATTCCTCCTCAGAGCCTCAAAGCCTTGGTACTTACCATTCCCTCAGCCTAGAAGGCTCTTTCCAAGACTGATTCATTCCCCACATCCTCCAGGACCCTGGCCAAATATCACATAACCAGAGAACCCCTTCCTCATCACTGCTATGAAAAAAACCACACCTCCACCAATATGTCTCCCATGTCTGGTTTTATTTTCTTCATGATGAAGAACAGCAAGCTCTCCACACTGCCTCCAACCAGAACACAGCTCCATGCCTGTATGTATTTTGTTCCTTTGTTCATTTCAGAAGCTCCCTCATGAAAATTTCCCTAACTTCATAAACACCTACTAAAATCCTATTCATCCTTAGAAAACCAGATCAAATGCTCCCTCTTTCAGAACATGTTTATTGTTGGCATTGTATAAAAGTTATCTGTGTACAGGTCTATCTTCCTGATGAGATAGCAAACTCCTGGAGAATGGGAACAGCTTCATCCATTGCTTCATCATTTTGTTTTTATTGCTTAAATAAGAGCTTAAAGATTTATTCAATAAATAGCTAAGTTAACATTGGTCTTGCCTATTATTTTTGGTTTGTTAAGACTCTTACTGGTTCAATCATGATATAAAGCAATGTAAACAAATATGGGAAAATATGATATTGAAAGGCAAGTGATTTGGCTTCTAAACTCTTCTCTATGCCTGATGTCCTTAGGCAAGTCATCTAATGTTTCCATGCCATAGCTTATTCTTTTTTTTTTCAAGTTTTACATTTTTTTATTATTATTATTTTAAATTATACTTTAAGTTTTAGGGTACATGTGCACAATGTGCAGGTTTGTTACATATGTATACATGTGCCATGTTGGTGTGCTGCACCCATTAACTTGTCATTTACATTAGGTTTATCTCCTAATGCTATCCCCCCCACCTCCCCCTACCCCACAACAGGCCCCGGTATGTGATGTTCCCTTTCCTGTGTCCATGTGTTCTCATTGTTCAATTCCCACCTATGAGTGAGAGCATGCGGTGTCTGGTTTTTTGTCCTTGCGATAGTTTGCTGAGAATGATGGTTTCCAGCTTCATCCATGTCCCCACAAAGGACATGAACTCGTCATTTTTTATGGCTGCATAGTATTCCATGGTGTATATGTGCCACATTTTCTTAATCCAGTCTATCATTATTGGACATTTGGGTTGGTTCCAAGTCTTTGCTACTGTGAATAATGCCACAATAAATATACATGTGCATGTGTCTTTATAGCAGCATGATTTATAATCCTTTGGGTATATACCAAGTTATGGGATGGCTGGGTCAAATGGTATTTCTAGTTCTGGATCCCTGAGGAATGGCCACACTGACATCCACAATGGTTGAACTAGTTTACAGTCCCACCAACAGTGTAAAAGTGTTCCTATTTCTCCACATCCTCTCCAGCACCTGTTGTGTCCTGACTTTTTAATGATCACCATTCTAACTGGTATGAGATGGTATTCACAGTATTGGAAAAAACTACTTTAAAGTTCGTATGGAACCAAAAAAGAGCCTGCATAGCCAAGCCATAGCTTTTTCTTATATCATTTAGTGATAGAAACTGTTTCCAACTATTCCATAGTAATATTCCTAGGATAAAATTAAATAAGATTGTGTAAGTGCTTCAAAATATTTTTAAAGAAGTGTGCAAATAAAAGTCACTATTAAAGTTCACCTGCACTTTAAAAAAATTAATCCCTGATGATGAAAAGTAGTAGACATGCTTCTTGCTTGCAAATACCTGAAGTCTACTCTAGCTAATTAGACAGAAAGTAATTTTATTGAAAGAATCATACATAGCTCGAGAAACACTGGAAAGATGTAAAAAATTGGGAGAAATAAAGAAACCCAAAGTATAGCCAAGATTGCCTGAATAGACGCTGCCATCTCTGGACACTCACCCACTTAGCAGTGGACACTGTTACCTCTGAAAACACCATGATAGGTCTGTGCATAAACTCTGCTCCCGTTCTTAGAATGATTCCCTTATATTAAAATTTTTATTTGTAGTATCCAATTAGCCAAGGCCATGGGACTTGCCTATAAGCCTAGGAAGTCAAAGAATTATTTGCTTCCTTCACTTTTGTTGTGAGAGGGTCCTGCTTACCTCCATTGTTAGGGTTAGCCCATAATAGGAAAGATGTTCAAATCCCTGGTTGCTAACAAGCCAAAAACAACACGTGCCCACTTACAAGATTCGTTTTCCCCATGGGAAGCTTTAAAAATCTTGTTAAATTTTCTTTTTGCTTGAAATAATTTGAGCTCCTTTTTGAACTTTATTAAGTACCTATCAGGTACCCAATAAGTTTACTGGAATGAAAATAAAGAAAACATGTTTCAAAGTAAAAGAAAAAGAGTAAATCTTTAAAAATATGATTATAATAGTATGACAGACATAGTTTCTACACATATCGGTAGCCAGGACTATGTGGAGAAGTAATTTCAAGTGATGTAAGATCAGAAAATGTATAAGGAGCAAATTTCCAGTTCTAACAGAATCAAATTATAGACTTTTCTTTTTCACCACAATTTGAAGCTCAGTTTAAATCCAAACTGGGAATTTTATTTTGCTTAAACTTAAGAGGAAGAAAGAAAAAAGAGGAATTTAGCAACATTAAAGATTATGTCAGAATAAAAAATATCTATACATTCTAATAAATTTATGTATCATCTGTACTATAGAGTCAAAAATGCAATTTTCAATATTTTTAAGAGAATCCGAATGGCTTAAATAGGTTTATGTGGATCTGGAAATAATTTTTAAACATTTTTTATTTAATATGGGTATGGCCTAGATTTTTTCCAGAGCTTATAAAAATGTGGAAAAGCATAAGTTGTCATGTCTTCATTGCAGTGCTGAGGCACAATTTCAGTGTTTGTGAAAACAGAAGACATGCCGTATCATCCAACACTTAGCTACTAAATAAGCTTAGACACACAAATATCCAATAATTTGCATCCTCTTTAAAACAATTTCTCTTTTTAAGAAGTTCTCTCTATGAAAAGTGAAACTTTTCTTCCAATTCAGACAACTCAGGACTCAGGTTTGCTAGCTTTCAAAAGTGAAAATACCCAGTCTTAGCAAAAATTTCTGCTAATGCAAACCACTGGAAAGTTTAATAAGTATTATAACTCTCACTTTTTCCCTGAAGAGATTCAGCACAATTATTACTAGAATTTGCCCTAGATTTTTAGTCAGCTGCTGCAAGAGAAAAATAATACTGTCAACAGAGTTAATTAAAACTCGTGTTAATAAACTACAGCAGAGTGAAACAAAAAAATATTGCCAATGGTTTTCAATATTTTTCATTGGAGCAGTGAAAATTACAGTTATTTTTAAAAATATATAACCCCAAGTGACACCATCCCTAATTTCCATTTGAGTTCTTTTTCCAAGAAGACCCATTAATTTATGTTCTGATGTTATGCAGTATGTCAATCCAAACAGCCTACGAAGATAAGCTAACCATGTCAAGACCTGATAATGCCTCCATGGTTGATAGTACACTTCTAGGCATACTGTATTTCCCTTCAATTTTCCCTTATTAATTTCAGAGGTAGGATTCTGTTTTCTACCTCTTTTTGTTCTTCTTACAAATACATACTGGGTTTATTTAAAATCCTAGAGAAACGTTTTCTATATAATAGGAATCCCAAACAAGTTATGTCTCAATTACAACGATCCCTTTTAGAAACCTAAAATAGTCCTCAGCAGAAACTCAGTAATAGCACAGAATGGTATGTTACTTATTTTATATATTATTCAAATTTCAAAAGTTAAAAAATTACTTCGCAATACTTACGGCACAAGATAATAATTTCAGAAATCTGAATGTTTGCTTGAATTTTTCTTCTCCATTCAGAGCTCTTTGTTTCAATATTAAAACAGCTGTTTTATATTTGTCCTTATAGCAGAAAGACAAGAAAATAATATTCACCTAATTCCCATGTATCTACAAAATTAAAGTCACATTACTGTACTCAAATTTAAGGCTGCCACATCTAGGTGTGTGTGCGATTTTACCTCCCACCCAGGGGACTCAGGATCAGAATTCCTAGGTTCAAACACCATCTTCATTTATTTTGAGCAGAACAACCTTAGATGAGATACGTAAGTCTCCTTTTTATGCCCTTCTAAGTCTCCTTCTCATGCTCAACCCATGACCCCCTCAACCTCTCTCATCCCCAGTCATGCCAGTACATACCTCATTTATTCCCTTTGCTCCTGTCATCTTCCTGCCGAGAGTGTCTCCTCCTTCCTTCCCAGTCTGCCTTATATCAGACTATCATTCCTAAAGCACCAGCTAAGGCTATTCTATACTTCCTTTTTACCCCAGTCTTCTTTAAACAATCTCTAAACATGTATTAAACACTGACTAGAAATCCAGCACTCTTCATGTCCTCTTGTCAAAATCTCCTCACTTATTTGGGTTCATACCAGCCTGTGTGCATGTGTATGCTTCATCTTCCCAGTTAGGTCATGAACTATACTCACTTCTTCATCACCCGCAGAACCTAGCACAAGGTGGAGTGCATGGTAGATGTTCAGTAAATATCTGCTTGTTTTCGTGTGCCATGTGTAGCTTATACACCCGAGTATTTATATTTTAACCAACCCTCCCCTTTTCCCAGCTTTCAGCTTTCTGAAAATAAGAATATTCTATTTTTGGACATATTCTATTTTTGGACATTTTAGCATAGTTCCTTGGAAATAGCAAACACTCAAAAAATAATATGAAATGAAATTTTCATTCCATTTTGAGCATCTTAAGCAGCAGGCTAAAGAGACCAGGGAAAATGAGAAAAGCTGGTCAATGAATGGAACCTTGTGCACTTTAAGATGTTTACAAATTCAGCAAAATTTGCTCAGTAGACTTTCCTCTGTTAAGGAAATGAGAAAAAAAAGAAGTCAATGATCAAAGGCCTCAAAGGAAGCTGATAAGAAATTATAATATAAGCTGCCAGTTCCATGGATTTTAGTCTCCTAAAAAAAGAAAAAAGTATATTTACTTCTTAATTGTGAAAAATCTCTAATGAGAAAAGAATTAGAAGTAGTTTAAGGTAAATTATCACATTTAAATGACAATGTTTCTGAATAAAGACTATCACTAATAGGAATAAGCCTATTGTATTTTATGTTACAATTAAGAAATGTGTTTTTATTTGTTTTTCATAGGCATTAATTGATTCCTGGACTTTTGTTAAATTTCTGTCAAAGCATCTCCTGGATTTTTTTTTTAATTTCTGTCAAAGCAGCTTTCAGAGGACTAGAAGAATCATGATCCCCATATTTAAGCATAATTAGTCAATTGCCACATCAGCAGAAATATGAATTTTATAGGCATTGTATATGCTATTGTCCTATGAGGGGTAAATTCAAGCAGAAAGAAGAGAAGTACTTAGAAGGATACCCTCAGGAATGATTATAAAAAGATATGACCTAGTTCTAGATGCAAAAAAAAAAAAAAAAAGAGCTGCTACAGTAAGCCCAATCTACCATTATTTTAGCAACTACTTCAAGCCATCTAAGAGGCTAATACCAAAACAGCCATAGTTATAATCATAAAATCAATAGGACCTGCTTTAAATGTGAGCAGTGTGGAAAGACCAGGCTACACATATGTAAAGCTATCATCAAAGCTGACTTGTGAGTACTCCAGCCACCCATTTCTTTCTTATTTCTTCCAATTGTATGACACTCTTTTCTCCCTCCACTTAGTGTCCTTTTGTTCTCTTTCTCTTCTTTCGACAAAAACTAAACTTGAGAGCCTGGCATGGTAATGTGCACTTATAATCCCAGCTACTCAGCTACTTGGGAGGCTGAAGTGGGAGGATCACTTGAGCCCAGGAGCTCAAGACCAGCATAATGAGATCACATCTCTTAAAAAAAAAAAAAAAAAAAAAAAAAGGAAGAAAAAGAAAAAGAAAAGAAAAGATAATTTCTCTTGGGAAAAGATTACTTATTAGTCATTTATACTTTAGTATGAAATAGAGCCAAAACATTCCCTGTCCCAGAGACATATACGTGTGCTAGGATTTGAATGGTTGTCCCCACCACAACTCATGTTGAAATGTACTCTCCAATGTAGCAGAATTGAGGGGTGGCTCCTTTAAGTGGTGATTGTGTTGTAAGGACTCTGCCCTCGTAAGTGGTTTAATCCATTCCTGGATTAATTGACTAGTGTGTTAATAGATTAATCCATTATTATGAGGGTGGGACTGGTGGCTTTATAAGAGGAAGACAGACCTGGGCTAGCACACTCAGCCTCTTCACCATGTGATTCCCTGCATGGCCTCTGGACTCTGCAGAGAGACCCCACCAGCAAGAAGACCCTCACCAGATGTGGTCCCTCATTCTTGGACTTACCAGCCTTCATAACTACAAAAAATAAATTCATTTTCTTTATAAATTACCCAGTTTCAACAATTCTGTTATAAGCAACAGAAAACACACTAAGACAGCATGTAGTCCTCCTTTCTCCACTCTAAAATAAAAGATTTTCCATATGACATTGATTTCTGCAGCAGGCATGAAGTGGTGGTATTTTCTCCTCACTAAATAAGTAGATATGCATACCAAGGATTCAGAAGGAAATGTCATCCTTTCAAACACTGGTTACAGTGAAGAAATACAACACTGCCCTCTTCCTCCGTGAAATCTTTCTAGAGAGCCTCAGTCTGCTAACATCACTCAGCACAAGAAGACTCAGACTCTGGAAGAATAGAAAACTTTTTACTATACTTTAAGTTCTAGGGTACATGTGCACAACGTGCAGGTTTGTTACATACGTATACACGTGCCATGTTGGTGTGCTGCACCCATTAACATGAAGCTGGAAAATTTTTAATAAAATGGAAATGTAAGCTGCAGATCTAGTCTCCTTTTTCCCTGGGTCAGTGAAGCTCCCAAGCATTGGTGCTTTGTTGAAACACTGATACTAGCAGGACAGGTTAAGAAATCTTCTTGGATCACTAAGGCTTTTAAAAGACCTGGAGTCATTTTTCATCTTATCTGTGAGAATACACTAAAGGCTCCTTTCTTAAACGCAGTCTTCAAAATGTGAAGAAACTTGGAAGCACATTAAATTTCCTTTGCAGGATATCACTTAACTACTATGTGTCATAGATTATAACTGACTGGGTGTTTCATTTTTCATCATGGAAAAGAAATAGGTATCATACTCCTAGAGAAATGATGTAAAGGAGGCTTTGACAAAGAAGATAGCAGATTTGTTTTCTTTAAGCTTACTTTGTTTTTCAACCCATGTCAAGATAAAACTATATTTGAGATAGAAAAAAAAGCATATGAAATGTTTTCCTACTTTCAAGCATAAGAAAATTTATAGCTGAGTCTGGCTTAGAGTCAAAAGAATTAAGTGCTGTGATCATCAACTTAAACCATTGCAGGTTTTCCATTTCTTCATTCTGCACAGGGGTCTATCATGCCTCTCTAGCTTCCTCCAAGTCTTCTTTATCACAAGTTCAATTGCAAAAAGAAGAATGCAAATCCAGATGCTGACTTCAAGGATTGTAAGATAGAACTAAATACTATATTTCTGTACTAAAATATTGTATTTTATTTTTTTAACCTATTTTAAGTTCAGGAGTACATATGCAGATTTGTTATATAAGTAAACTTGTGTCATGGGGGTTTGTTGTACAAATTATTTTATCACCAAGGTATTAAGCCTAGTACCCATTAGTTAGTTTTCCTGATCCTCTCCCTCCTCCCATCCTCCATCCTCCAATATGCCACTGTGTGCATTGTTTCCCTCTAAGTGTCCAGGTATTCCGTTCATTTATCTCCCACTTATAAGTGAGGGCATATGTATTTTGTTTTCTGTTCCTGTGTTAGTTTGCTAAGGATAATGGCCTCCAGCTCCATTCATGTCCCTGCAAACAACATGATCTTGTTATTTTTCATGGCTGCATAGTATTCCAGTTCGTATATGTACCACATTTCTCTATCCAATCTATTATTGATGGGCATTTTGGTTGATTCCATGTCTTTGATATTGTGAATAGTGCTCCAATGAACATATATGTGCATGTGTCTTTTTAACAGAACAATTTATATTCCATTGGATATATACCCAGTAATGGAATTGCTGGGTCAAATGATATTTCTGCCTTTAGATCTTTGAGGAATCATTACACTGTCTTCCACAATGATTGAACTAATTTACACTCCCATCAACAATGTATAAGCATTTTGTTTTCTCCACAACCTCACTAGCATCTGTTATTTTTTGACTTTTTAATAACAGCCATTCTAACTGGTAAACACTGCATTTGTATAGCAACATGTGAGCATCTGTGTTGTCTTGAACACATTCAACAATACACACACACAAAAAAATGGTTGTAAACAGTCCTATATAAAAATCATAATGGTGACATTTTTGTAAACAAAAAGGCATGGGAAAATGCATTATCTGCCCTCCCAAGTGCCTAAAGAGTACACAAGATGTGAGATAAATCTGGCTTTCCTCCCTACACACTTTACAGATGCAGTTGTTATTTAGGTGTAAAACCTTCAAAAACCAGTTCAGAGTAAGGAGCTCTGTCTCTTAGAGACAACAATATAATCATTTCTCAAAAAGCAAAACAGTCCACTCAAATCTGTCAAGCTTATAGCACTGGAAGTTGTAGGAATGTGATTATATATCAGTTTCTCAATTGAGAAATGTCTGGAGTGTGCTAGCTTATAACTTCAGACTGGAAAAGTGTCATCTGCTTATGATATAGAAATATAGTTTCTATATAAGGAAAAAAGACTTTCAATAGTTAGAGTCTGATGGATTGTTATTGACATTATCCAATTAGTTTAACAGTAAGTTATATTCAAAAGCATACCTGATGTTTAAAGTGAAACTTTATATTTTATATATATATATAATTTAAAACCTTGTCTACTATAAAATTTTATATAACAAAAACTAGCTTGTTTAATTAGAACCATAAAATAAGTTAATATTAAAATAAAGTTTTTCTATAGCCATTTCATATCACTACTATAGACTAAATGAAAATAACATGGCTTTTATCATCTAGAAATTTTTTAACCCAAGACACCCCTGGAAAAATGAATATCTGAGTTTATACAGGAATAAACTCACATTTATACAGGAACAAACTCAGATTTAAAGTAAATTTATTTATAACATAGAAGTTATGCATACATGCTTGAAGATAACAGTCATCCTTATTCATAATCCAGTAGATTTTTTTAATGATGCACATTTGAGGAGTAGCAGAACATATTTTCCTCCACCAAAAACAGCCCACTTACCTTCCATGCATTCATTCAATTTAACATTAACATTTATTGAATATTAATAATTATGTTAGCTGTATACTAAAGACAATGTGACACATAATCACAATACAATTTGGTGAGTTTGATAATAACAAAATGTGTGAAATGTTAGAAAGAAAAGAGTGACGAAAGCTGTGTACCTTGGGAGTTGGGAGCACAGAGAAAAATATCCGAGATGCTTTTGGAGTTGGATTATAAACGACAAGTAAGCATGCTCCAGGTTTAAAAAGAAAGAGAGTATTACAGCATGGGCAACAGCATACACAAAGGCAAAGAGTATAGAAAGTTCTGGAAATAGTAATATGATGCAAATACAGTGATCAAAGTGGCAAGAGATAAGAATGGAAAGATGGTTGGGGCCAGATTGGGCAGATCTCTGCATACCATTGAAAGGAGTAATCGTTTTATTAATTGGGCCATGGAGAACTGTCAAGAGCTTATTTTGCAGATGAATAATAATTTATTTGAGTAATTTATGGACGGGAGTAGGTTTGACACTGCAAGCAGGAAGACCAGGTCATAGCAATTATCTGCTTGAAAAACAGAGCTATAAACAAACCAGGGGTAAAAATCAGACTGTGAATCAGAGGCAAGTGATAAGGCTAAAATGGTAAGAAACGATAGTATTTTATTCCTAAGTATCCTCTGCTTAGACAGAGGATATTTTTAAATGCTGAAATAAAATGTAATACTAAGGCTCTAAAAGATATAAGAAGATGACACATCATCAATTGAGTTGATAAACGAGAAGAGATGACAAAGTAGGATAAAACACCACCTATACTTTGGGACCTGTAGTATTTATTCAAGTATTCCTGAAAGGACTTTGATACAACACAATATGAAAAGAAGTGGTATCTGAATAAAGTGCATCTTTGTAATTGGTTGATCTCTACATTTATTCTCTTCTTTTTGCCACTTTGCAATGTTTTGTTGAAGTTTTATTATTCCCGTAGAGTTTTGCACAATTTTGCTGAATAGTCCCTTGATATCATTTGACATATTCCTCTGTCCTGTTTTCTGTAAATTGATAGCTGATCTAGAGACTTGATCAACTTAAATTCAGTAATTTGTATATGAATATGTGTTATGGAAGTGAAAGCTTTGTTCCCTCAAAATTCATATGCTGAAGCTCTAATCCCCAGAGTGAGTATATGTGGAGATGGGACCTCCAAGGAAGTAATTAAGGTTAATCATACTGTCAGATGGGGCCATGGGCCAATAGGAATAGTGTCTATATAAAAAGACACACTAGAGAGTTTGCATGCACTCTCTCCGTCTCTCTCTCTCTGTTTCCATACGCCATAGAGAAAAGGCCATGTAAGGATGGAGCAAGAAGGCAGCTGTCTGCAAGTCAGGAACAGAGCCCTCACCAGAAACTGAATCAGCCAGAACCTTGATTTTGAATTTTTAATCTCTAGAACTGTGAAAAAATAAATTGCTGTTGTTTCAAGCCACTCAGTATATGGTATTGTGTTATGGTAGCCCAAGCTCAGTACTACACTACCTCCTAGAGTGTGGTGTATACTTCTAATAGGAGGCACATGATGTCTGGTTGGCACTTTTTCACTGATGTTATCATCCATTAATCACTGCTTAGATTCATTACTTCATTAAGAGTTTCAAATTGTGATGATTTGCCATTCCTTCTTCATTTATTACATTTATAAATACACTTATAAAGAGAAACTCCTCCTTGTATATTATTATACAGAATGGCAGAATACATTTTTTATTCCTCTCCTATCTGCACACTTTTCAAACTAATGGAGTGATTCTCTGTACTACTCAAAATGCATTTTCTTTCTTTTGGGTATCATTATGAACTTGCAATGTTAAACATATTTGATGTGTTTCAATCCATCAAAGTTAGTGTTTCCATTGAAAATGCTCCACATTTGGAAAATGGGAGATTAAATGAGATTGAATCTTGAGTCTTGCTAACATGACATTGGTACAAGTTCCTTTTCTAAGAAGTACACAGTAGGTGCAGGTCTATCTTATAAAAGTTTCTGTTCTAGACCTCACATCAGTCATTTATGCAAGAAGTTCTGCTATCATTTGGAGGGAAATATTATTCAAAGAGCATAATTTGACCACTGGGGATTCTTATTGCCTTCTCATTCTCATTAATCTTCCTTTCTGTGCCGTATCAGTGGAAAGAGCTAGAAAACACATATATAAGAAGAAAACACACTGAATGTTCTTACAAAAGTTTTCAGTTGGACTGGGCATGGTAGGTCATGTTTATAATCGCAGCACTATGGGAGGCTGAGGTGGGCAGATCCCTTGAGCCAAGGAGTTCAAGACTAGCCTGGGCAACATAGTAAGACACTGTCTCTAAAAAAAAAAAAAAAAGAAAAGAAAACTGTTGTCTGGCATGGGGTGGCATACAGCTTCTAGTCCCAGCTACTCAGGAGGTTGAGTCAACAGGATCACTCCAGCCAAGGATTTGAAGGCTACAGTGAGCCTTGATCATACCTCTGCACTCCCGCCTTGGTGACAGAGTGAGACACTATCTCAAAAAAATAAAAATAAAAATAAAGATTTCAATTCAAATTTAGGACTAAAGAGATATGTTTAACCTCCTCAATCTTATATCTGTATCCAAAATTACTATTGCTTATTTGTTGTAGCTCATAATACAGAATTAATAGTGTCAGAAAAGAAATATCATCTAAACCTAACACATTTGCTTTATGTAATACAAACACCAGTGTCAGAATGAATTTCATACCCTGAAACAAACAAGGTGATTATTACAAATTCATTTCTGTAATAAATAAAGAACAATTTGTATATTCTATTTCTTTTTCAGGGATAATTAATAATATGTGTCTGTCAAGATAATTGTTCATCTAAATTGTAAAATTTGTCAGTATAAAGTTTTTTAAATATTCTCTTGTTAAATACATTTAAGACTGTAGAATCTGTAACGGTATCACTTTACTTATTTGTAATATTGATAATTTTTATATTTTCTTCTTTTATCCTTATCATTCTGGCTAGAAATTTATCACTGTTATTGACAGCATCAAAAAGCAAGTTTTAGAGTTAGGTTTTCCTGTTTTAAATGCAATGTAACAACATGTGCCTTTTAATAGGGGTGTTTAATCAGTTATATTTCATTCATTTTTTTTTTACATCTTGGGATTTCTTTTACTTTTTATTCCATCTTTGTGTTGTTTGCTTTTTCTTTATTTTCTGCTTTACTTTTATGATTCCATTTTATATCCCTTGTTGGCATATTAGCTAAAACTTTTGTGTTACTTTAGTTGTTGTTTTACTGTTCATCATATATGTGGCAGCAAAATAATGGCCTCCTAAAGATGTCCAATTCCCAGTCTCTGAAATCTGTAATATGTTGTCTTACAGGGCAAAAGAGACTTTGTAGATGTGATTAATGCTACGAACCTTGGGATGGAAAAATTTTCGTGGATTATTCAGGTAGATGAAATTGGAGGCAACTATCCAGTCAGTTGAAGGCCCAAATAGAATAAAAAGGCAGAAAAGAAGGGCAAATTAACTTTCTCTTCTAGAAATGGGATGCCAATGTTTTCCTGCCTTTGGACAGCAAAACTACAGGTTCTCTGGCTTTCTGATTATGGATCTAGCACCAGAAGTCTCCCTGGATCTCAGGCTATTGTTGGAACAAACTTGGGTCCACTCACCTAGTGCAACAAAGCCAAATCCTGATACCAGGATTTGTAAGTGAAAGAAAATAAGACATTTATTCTAGGGCGCCAAGCAAGGAGAATGGAGAGCTAATGCTTAAGATCTCAACTGTGATGACTTACAAGCAACACTTTTTAAAGGCAGAGGTTGGGGCCGTTCTCAGAAGTGAGTTAAGGGCTGGAGAATTTCTGGAACTTTTTTTATGTACTTTCTGGTTCCAGTCTGTCTGAGGTCTATATGACAATGGCTGGTCAGAATTTTCCAGCTAGTTTCTGAAAAAAAAAAAAAAAAACTTCAGGGACATACATCAAGATGTTATCCTCAATTTCTATGCAAAACCAAATAATGTGATTCTGGCTTCCTTGGGTGACTATTTAAGCTACAATCTTCTTGCTAATGTGTTGTTTATTTACTTCTCTAATTGCTGGTTGCAGGGCTAAGTGCCTGGAATTTCCTTTGGATGAATTTAAAATGTTTTCTTTATTTCTATGCTTGGGGTTGAGGGAGGTGGTCAAGGAGATCAGCAGGCCCCAAACAGTGGTCCTTGTTGCATCTCAAAGCCTTCAGACCTGGACTGAGCTATGTGACAGGCTTTCCCAATTCTCCAGCTTACAGACAGCATATCATGAGACTTCTCAGCCTCCATAATTACATGAGCCAATTTCTATAATAAATTTCCTGTTATCTATTCATCTACCTATCAATCTATCCTATTGATTCTATTTCACTGGACAGCCCTGACTGAAACAGATTTTGACACCAGGAGTGGTTCTAGGTGAACAGAATTTTAAGGTTGTGTTTTTTGAATTGGTTTTAGGATTTCTGTACTTGGCTGTCTAATCTGATTAGATTTTAAAATCCTAGGACTCTATTTTAATAGTACAAAAAGCACTAATAGTTCATAGCATGAAATATTTATACAGATACACAGATATTTTGTGTATTTCTACTTTGATTAGGATACTCCTAATCAACCACTTACAAGAGACAAAGAACTTAGTGATCCTGTTATTACTTTTGAACATTTGTGGAAAACTAAGCAATATAATGACATTGGTTGGTTGCTCCTAATGTCATTGGATGGAGTGACGAAAGAAAAGGATGATCTCAGGGATTCTAATTCACAGCTCAAGCACCACATAAATGACCTAAAAGCTTCTATATATGTCCTGACAAAGAATCGTATCTCCTGTAGCCACAGGGCTGAAATTGCTGAAAATAAAACACAAGATTCCTTCACGGAATTGGCTGAATTGCAATGAAAATTGAACTCCCAGCTTTGCAAGGTGTCTACCGTTAAAGTAAGGGCATGGCTTGGGAAATACGGGGATCCTGTAAGTTGGGATGAGGACATGTGGGTACGTGGAGCTCCTAAATCCTGATGAGTTATTTGTTTTTGTTTTTTGTTTTGCCCGCAGATGTGGCCTCCCTACCCCCAGGTGTAGCAGTCTTCCCACCCACAGTGGTATTGGCCTTTCTACCTCTGTCTAAGGGGATTAGCCCTTCATTGCCTAAGGAAATGGCAATGACCTCCTTTGAGACAGATGCTAAGTAAGGCAATGCTGATTATCCTCAAGACCCACCCCACCACCCTTCTTTGCTTCTAGACAAATAACTAGAGTCAAGTCCCAGAAGGGCCCCAAAAGTAAAATACAAAGTGTGATTCATGAGGAGGTATGTCTGTCGCACTTTCAAAGAGCTACTTAAGTTTTCTAATTTATACAAGCAGAAATCCAGAGAACATGTGTGGGAATGGGTATTAAGGGTGTGGAATAATAATGGAAGGAACATAAAGATGGATCAGGTGAAATTAATATAGGCCCACTAAGCACAGATTCTGCATTTAATGTTGCAGCCTGGGGTGTTAGAAAAGGCTCTAATAGTTTGTTTTGTCAGTTGAAAAATGACTCAACAATGGCCTACTGTGAGTTAGTTGGAAATGTCCCGTGTCCCTTGGCTTAAGGTAGAAGAAAAGATTTAAAGACTCAGGGAGACTGGAATGCTGGAGAGAATTTGTCATTTATGGCCTACTTTCCTATATTAGGAGAGTCCAGGAGATGTATCTTTTACCACTACTTTAAGAAATAGATTTGTGAAAGGAGCCCTAGAGTCTTTGAGGAGCTTCATGATTGCTCAGAGTGTACCATGGGAACTGTAATCTATAAAACTTAAATGCAATATGAAAAAATGGATCCTAGTTGGTAAGGGCCAGGTGGCAGCAATCAACCACCAGAGACAAGGTGGCCGTAGTTAGTTACTGTAATGGATCACAGGGTCAAAGCAACAATTAGAATAGTCTGACTTATGCAGACCTGTGGTATTCACTAGTTAATCATGTTATTCCTAGATATGAAATAGATAGGAAGCCTACTAAATTCTTACTTGATCTGAATAAGCAGAAAAGTTTCAGGTCAAGTAAACAAAAATCTAACTTGAATTTTAAAAACAGAGAATATATCCTATGGGTTCTGTTTCTCTGGAGAATCCTGACTAACACATGACTCTATAATGATGCAACATTGCTGGCTTTTCAGATAAATAAAGGGAACCATGAGCTAAGGAGTGTGAGTGGCCTCTGGAATCTAGAAAGAAAAAGAAAATAAATTATCCCTGAGTGTCTCCAGAAAGAAACACAGAACAACTGTTACCTTGACTTTAGTCTAGTGAGACCTGCTCCTCAATTTGTACTGATGTGCCCCTTAATTTGCATGTAATTGGAAGTGGGTTTAAGTGAATATAAACAGTTGCCTAGAGCCCATACATTGTTCACTCTGGGTGCACTGTCCATAAGTTAGCCCTGCTCCACAAGGATCAGCACCAGCCAATAAAAGATTGCTGTCTAACACCACTGGCTCACTCTCAAATTCTTTCCTGGGTGAAGCCAAGAACCCTCCTGGGCTAAGCTCCAATTCTGGGGTTCACCTGTCCTGCAACAGTACTACAGAATGTTCTGGTTTTATCCTGCAATTTCTCTACTGCAGCCACAGAACTGGCCATTTTTCCAAGGAGCTCTTGTTTCTTTTGTTAGAGAATAATATTTAGGAAGCAAGATGTAATTGAGAGGTATGCTCATCCATGGTCAGGTGGCATTGCTTCTAGGCTTCTCGGTAGACAGGGCTAAGAAATACTCATTAGTATGCATGAGCCACCTGTTCTTATTGATTTTACTGATTCTAATCCAGTGCCACAGAAAGTCAAAAAGCAGTCCATTACATCCTGAAGGCGGTCTGGCATTCACATCTTGGATATGTTATTCTGTTAAACATAAACAATCTCACAGAAAGCAAACATGAGGAAAGGTTACTCGGCAACCTTGATAATGTGAGAAAAAACAAGACCACTTCATAATTTTTTGTAAAAAAAGAAAAAAATAAGGTCATTGTGCTACCCACTAAATACTAAATTTCCCTTTCTCTCCTGACTAAAACAAGTGGCTGCTACTTCTTTTCCAACTACAGATTTATTCTCACTCTCATCTGCCTTCCATATAAATACAATTACTGAGACACCCAATGACAGAATCGCCTTGTTTTCTAACAGCATCCTACCTAGAGTGAATCCCCAATTCTTTAGACCTTCACTAAACTCACTGCCCACCCAACAAAAGTCCAAATCCCATGACTGGTCCTTTCTAACATTCTCTACTAAGATACTGTGGTTCGCTATGGTGTGCCTCCTCTCTGCAAACGAGTAACAAGCTCTACTTGTCAATTTTAGGTATGCTCTGGGTGATATTTGGCTGATGAGCACTGGCAGCAGTCTTCCCCTCTCTTTAACTGTAACTCTTTTCTCAGACAATGAGAAAACTTGCTCTCATTATGCACCATATATTACTTATTTGCTTAATTCTAGAATATACATAAGTTTTAGAATTGGTAACGTATACATCAGTTAAAAACAAACCTACTAACTAGAGTTCAATATTTGTGAACAGTTATTTTTTTCTTTAGCCTTAGAGTATATGGGAAAAAACACTGTTTTTCAAAGTTTCTTAGGTTAATTATTTTCTTTCTCCCCCTCCCCTTCACTGTGGTTATGTTACTGACTTGTAATGCATTTAGGTTTATTTGCTTCTGTTTGTTTTCCATGTTGGGTATCTTGCATCCAAGTTAATTTTAACATATTTTTGATTATATACAACATGGAGATGCTTTCAAAAGTCAGAACTAAACCAAAAGTATACTCAGGGAAGTATTGCCCCCACCTTTGTACCCTATTCCAGTTGTCTCTTTCTTTACTCTTTACCTCCATCTCCCTTTTGTATTAAAGGGCCTGTATCATATCATATTTGGTTTAGTTCTGACTTTTAAAAGCATTTCCATGTTGTAAATAATCAAAAATATATTAAAATTAACATGGATACAAGAAACAAAACATGGAAAGCAGACAGAAACACAGTATCTTTTAGTTTCTTTTTCCTTCTATCTTTGTATTATCGGAGGTGTATTTTCAGAGTAAAGTCTTACAAGGATTATTGGGTCAAAAGGTAAATTAACATGTATTTGTATTAGATATTGTCAAATTCCCATCCAATAGGGCTGTATTCATTTGTATTACCACCATCAATATATGAGAGTGCAGATTTCTTTATAGCCTAGCCAATAGGATGTGGTTAGACTTTTTAATTTTCATCAACTGGGAAAAGTCATAAATGGTTTCTCAGTACAATTTTAATTTTTAGATTTGTAATTATGTCTGAAATTGAATGCCTTTTATGTTTTAGGGCTATTTCTTTTGTGAATTATCTGTTCATATCTTCCATTTTATAAAAATTATTTTCCTTCCAATTTTAAGAGTTTATTATGTATTTGTGATATCAGACCTCTATATGTAATGTATCTTGGAAGTATCTTCAAATTTGTCAAGTATTTTATTTTTGCTTGTGATTTTTTCATCCATGTTAAGCATTTTTGTATAGATTATAAAAAAATCTTTGTATATAAAAATTTTATTTTTCTCTCTAATTTTATAATTATCAGACCATTAGAGCCTACTCTATTGACCAAAGTCAGAATACTGTACCTGCCAGCTTGACCAGAACTAATGAGACAAAGAAAAAGCAGGTACCCAAATAAATATACGCGGGGTAGACAACAGGAGCAATATCTATTACAGAAAAGTCCCTGATTGGGGAGCTCTTTCTCTCCCAATCCACACTTATTCTAATCCCTGTGCTTATTCCATTCTTCACCAGGACCAACCTTTCATTGTGCCAAATGGCAGCATACTATTTACACAGTTGTGCAAAGAGATGCATCAGTCTCTATAGCAAAACTTCACTGAGGGAACAAAACCAATGCAGAATTTATGTTGATGCTTTTATTACTTGAAGTGTTACAAAAACAAATAGCCAGTGAAAACCAGCATCTTTGGTTTTTTCACAACAGGCATGAGCTGAAAATACTCTCAATCCTGAATTATTCAGGCCCCGTTTTCATGTCCCTTGCACACATTTATGATCTCAAAAATTGCCTCCGGAAAAGAAAATGGCACAGCATCAATTTGATACCTGAAAGTTGAAAGACATACCAGACTTGTAACGGCTAATGCATTCTAAAAAGTGAAACCGTCTGTGTGTAAATATCCTGACTTTTCAATATTTAGACTTGTTGGCATTTCTTCTCTCCCTTCATTTATAGATAATAAGGCTGTAAGCAAATAACAATGGGGAATGAGTGCACTATAAAGAAAGGCAGATAAAAGAGACTTAATAGAAAATTAAACATTATTATGAACAATACACTCGTGACAGTAAGTAGAAGTAGAAATAGTAGTTTGGTTTTTACCTGACATCTTTTCAAATCTCATAAATAGGAAAATTAGACTGTAGTATATAGATTTTCAGTAGGAAATCTAGATAAGCTGATTTTTTCTCATATACCTTATTTTCCCATAACTTAATGACAAAATATTTCATGAGAGTCCAATAATCTTTACTTAATCTAATGGAACATTAACATCACTTTTACTCTATTATTTTCATTGTTGATAACAATCAGTATGTTTCTATTTTCCATTCAAAAAGGAAGAAATGAGTTAAGGCTGGAAAGGTGTTAAATAACTAGATTTGTTTTAAAAGAAAAAGAAACTAATAAGTATTAGGTACTCACTCCATGCCTGATATGTGTGTATATGTGCACTTGTGGTGTGTGTGCTCTATAATTCTTGCAATAATCCCATGAGGTAAATATGTTTGTCTTCATTGTACAGATCATAATTTTGCTGTGCAGAAATGTTAATTGGCTTCCCTAAATTCAAACAAATCAGCAGCAAGTCAAGGCTGTAACCTAATTTCTCTTATTCCAAAGTGATGTATCAAATTTGAAAGAGAGGGTTTCTTTTTACATTTTACTTGTAATTGTTTTGTCTTTAGAGATGAATAAATTATAGTGTCATCTAATATATTTACATACAAGTAATATCATTTTAAGAGAGGATAGTGTAATTTCATACTCATTACTCAGTCCCAACAGCCATATTATGCTGCTTCCCAATTGTCTTACACTTACAGGTGCTCCATGCCATGGCCCCCCAGCCCACCTGATTTCAACATGGCTTTAGTAGACAGTTCTATGCACAGTGCCTGTGTCCCACCATAAATACAAGCTGCAGCATCTCTAGTTAGTCTGGTTCAGAAAGACGCTGGGAACACAGCTTAAGCTGTGCACAAGTGTAGACCAGAATTGTGCAAAGTAAATTTCCCCAAGGGCAACTCTCAACCAAAGGTGATGGAAGTCAGTGCATTCAGAAGGTCACCAGAAAATTTAAGCCCTATTTGCTCATGGGGGTAACTAACCATTTTTAGTTGTTCTTTCTCTCTTGCCTCATTCTCCCCACTCCCTTACTTCTGCCTCCCAGGATCGTCTCTCAAATAAACTACCTTCAACCAAATCCTTATTTTAGGCTATGCCTTCAAGAAAACTCAAACTAAGACATAAATGATGTTAAAGTTTTCGCAATAAGAAATATCAAGTCAGGCAACCCAGAAAACTCTTTAAGTAGCAGTCTTAGGACTTAGTGATTCAATAAAATGGAGCCCCCTGCCTCTTGCATGGCAAACTTAGGCAAGATGAGCCACTCAAAAGAAAACTCTGTCTTCCAGTAAGTACAGCATATTAGAGCAGAACTGAACTTCAGTTATAATTGAGGCAGAAGCTGTTGTTAGTATATTCTGTCCTCCAAGGTCAGAGGGATCCTTGAAACCCAAAACCACTCCCTGAATTCACTAGAATAGGCATCTTTGGTGAGGACACACTTCTGGTCATGGCCAAAGAGTAGTCACCATCATCACATACACAGCCAGCTAGATTCCACCCAAAGGAGGATGGTCTCACATTCTTGTCTCAACTCCTAACTGTTCTGATACTGTGTCATAAAAGACACGTGCCTTCACTCTCTGAGCCTTAGTTCTCTCCCCTAAATAATGTTGAAAATAATGTAAGCCTCTTAATTTTGTCATGAGGATGAAATGATACAGTTTCATCAGTTATTCTTGGTTTATCTTGTACTTCACTGTCCACTTCCTTTTCATATCATTGTTTTACCCTTCCCTTTTTTCTAATCCCTTAATATTGCATTGCTCCAAAGTTCAGTCTTTTATCTTCCCTGCCTTTCCCTTCATTAATGATTTCATCAAGTCTAATTACTTTAAATACCGCCTAGATCGGCATTATCCATGAGGGCTTTCCACTGTGATGGAAATCTTCTATATACTCACTATCCAATAGCAATAGAATATATCTACTGTATTAGAAATATTTACTATCCTATACAGCTACCACTGGTCACACAGGCTACTGAGTCACCTTAAATGTGATAATGCATGTGGCCAGTGGCTATTGTATTAGACAGTGCACATTTATTTGATGACTCTTAATTTATTACTCCAGATTATATATCTATATACCTTCTTGATATTTTCAATTAGAGATATCAAATAGACATCTCAAATTCTGCATGCCTAAAACTGAATCGATCTCTTCCCACTCCATCTGAAAGGGATACAAATCCATCCTGCCAGTTGCCCAAGACACAAGGCACAGAGTTATCCTTTCCTCTTCCCTTTGTTTTCTACTTCAAAGTATATCTGTGCTCTAACCAATTCACTCACCATGTTCCAGCCATGCTGTCTTTCTGCTGTTTCTTCCACATTATAGGACACACTATTCTTATTACCTTACCTATAGTGGCTCCCTCCACCTGAAAAGATTCTACCTCTGATATAGTTTGGATATTTGTCCCTGCCCAAATCTTATTTTGAAATGTAATTTCCAGTGTTGGAGGTGGGGCCTGGTGGGAGGTGTCTGGATCATGGAGGTGGATCCCTTATGAATGGTTTGGGCCATCCCCTTGGTGGTAAGTGAGCTCTGAGTTCACATGAGATCTGGTCATTTAAGTATGTGGCACCTCCCCCTAACACTTGCTCCTGCTTTTTCCCATGTAAAGTGCCTGTTCCTGCTTTACCTCCTGCCATGACTGAAAGCTCCCAAGGCTTCACTAGGAGCTGACCAGATGCCAACACCATGCTTCTTGTAAAGCCTGCAGAATTGTGAGCCAATTAAACCTCTTTTATTATTTATTTATTTATTTATTTATAGCAACGCAAAAACAGCCTAACACAACTTCAGATATCCACTTTAATAATGGTTTCATCACCTTTGATTTTTTTACTCAAATGTCTCATTTTCAATGAAACCCAACTACTTTATTTAAATCCTGTAGCAGAAAGCATCTTACACAAGTTGTGCCTTTTGCTAGATAAGCCTAGCCACCGTCAACATTTAGATCCACAGACAAGAAAACAACTCTCATTCTCCTCCAAAACTCTGATTTCCTTTTAGTATCTCCCATTAGTTGAACGCAGCTGGAGGCCAGAAGGCAACAGAACCCATTGATTAATCTGTAAAAGTCAGACTCCCAGAGCTCTGGGCAGGAAAGAGAAAGATAGAAGTAAATCTAGAAAGAAAACAGAGACTAGTAATCACTTTGAGACTAGTAATCACTTTGACTTCAAATGCATGATGTACTCTGCATCTGTTATTATGATTATTTTTGTTTATCATCATCACCTTCATCTCTCAAAATGTAAGTTCAGTATGGACAGGAATCTTTGCTTTGTCCATTAATATATTCTGACCACATAAAACAGTGTTATGCTCATAGCAGGTTCTCAGTAAATAGTTTTGAATGATTGAATATATGTAAACAACTAGAAATTGCCTGAAATATTATAAAAGCATAAAGCTCTGATTTCTTTCTCCATTCTCTAATACTTCAGCTTCCAAAAATTATTTCTTAATGCTTACCATTGCTTATGAAAGACCTGTAAGTTTTACTTCTGTAATAACTCTTGCACTACTTATCTCCTCCTTTCTTGTCCTACTGCTCTTTCCATTATTTCAGGCCATCAGGACACCATAATTGCTTCCTTACTGGAATCCCTAAATCTATCCCTCATCCCTTCAATCCATATTAATTAATCTGCCTAGACTTCCACACAAAAGAAAAAAATCACAGAAGAACATTATCACAATTCAAATGCTAAAATTTTTGCACTCATGATAGATAAAATCAAAAACTTAAAAATACAAAAATGGACTAGTAAGAATAAATGTCAAATATGGCTTTTACAATGAACTAATGCCTACATGATAGAGAAAACTCACACCAATTGATAATTAGGAATTTAATACAGAGACAGTGCTACAAATAAAAGTCAGGAGATTTTTTTTATCAAAACATACTTATCCAATAAATAATTCTGGCTATTCAAACTTGATTCCCCTGCTGCCTTCCTAGTCAGTTCTATACCTCTGCTTTCTTCCCCCTCGTGCCTCCTCCATAACTGGTCTTACTTCCCAACTCTCTGTCTTTGGCCAGCCTCATTCTACACAATCCTCCTTGGTGATGACATCTACTCAAATATTTCCAAGTGTCATGTATATCTACGAATTTAAAATTTTTTAGTTCTCTCCTGAGCCCACATGCACATAAAACTCCATAGAGCCCAAAGCTTTTCCCCTCCTACCTGAAGTATTATAATAATTGCACTATCATTGCCTACATGATAAAATCCAGTTCCCAAACTGGGCACTCAAGGCCTTTCATCATTTGATTCCCACCTTAGCCCTGAGGCTGGCCCTCTTCCACATGGACCTCCAATCATTCCTACTCCTGGCAGTTCCCAGAATTTACCAGGCTTCCATTCCCTTGCACAAGCCCTTCCCTATGCCTACAACTCCTTTTCTGCTTTCACATACTTGGTTAAATTCTACACATCTTTCAAGACTTAAGAACGACATCATTTCACACATGACTCTATCTATCTATCTATATATATATACACACACACACACACCTGAAGTTATATATGTTATACATATATATGTGAAGTTATATATGTTTTATATATATAACATTCTGCTCAAAAGGAATTCACCAATGTCCTTTGTCTCACTGTACCCAGCTGCTATAGCAACTGCTACCCACTTGTTTTATTTCATGAATGCCTATCTCCACTAAAATGTAAATTTCTTGAAGCAAAAGATTATCTGTTTTATGACTTATTTATTTATATCTTAAAATGACAGATTAATTTGTATTTACTGTGTACAACATGATGTTTTCAAGTGTAGATCTATTGTACAACATGATGACTATAGTTAATATACTGTCTTCTTGAAAAATGTTGAGAGTGAATGTAGTGTTCTCACCACAAAAATGATAACTATGTGAGGTAATGCATATGTTAATGAGCTAAACTTAGTCATTCCACAATGTATACCTACTTGAAAATATCATGTTATATGCTGAGTTGTTTTCAAAAGAAAGACAAAAAACTACATATGTGAAATTACTCATTTCAGCAATTTTTAAACTAGGAAAACTTGGACACTTTTTGAATAAGCATTAAACAACAGAGCAAGTCTTAAGATGGAATATATCCACAAAAAATAGCCACTAATGTGATAATTTATGGAAATTATTCAACATGGAATATATATAAACATCAAGTTTGACATGAAATGGAGACCATAATTCTGTCTACACCTTGATTAACACTGTATAATATTTGTATGAATAGTATCTATAAGGAATCACTGAAAATTAAAACACATGCTATAGTTGAGTGGTGATATTTGGGGCAACTTCTTTCTTCTGTCTTTATTTCTGAGTTGTTATTTTTATGCTATTTCCATGTTAAATAAAATACAGAGAAGAAAAAATGATAAGGAAGGCACCATTTAAAAATGTACTTCTTAGAGGTGGAGCAGGAAGAGTTACAAAATGTCCTTCTGCCTATAAAGATAAAATCTTTCTTATATGCTAGTACTGAAAATATTTGTGAGGTCCCTAAAAAGTCAACGAACCCAGGAAAATGACTTACTGCTCTCCAAAGCCACACATTCTGTGGTAGATTGACTTGGCAACATCCAAAATCCATAACGCCTTGAAGTCACTTCCCCATAGCCATGAGAGGCCAGAGCAAGAAAAACAGGGAAAAAATTCACTTGTGAAAATCCTAGTTGTAAAACATGTCCAACCCAGAGCACATTTAGATATCTGTTCCGCATTTATAAGTTGCTCTTTCAAAAATATCCTTCCTTCCTTAATTACTGTCCAAAGAAGTTAATACAGGAAACATTTCTGAAGTGCTGAGCAGGAAGATATTGATGGAGTCAGGTTGGCTCCGGGTCTGGGTCTCATGTTTCTGCTGCCACAGCCCTTCCAGCTCCTGCCCAGGCCATAAATACAAACAGAGCTGGGAAAATTTTATCATTGGCAGCCATCCCATGGGGTGAAATCCAATACCCTGTGTAGAGTGGATAAGAAGCCAAAATTAACTCTGGGCCATGACTTCTCATTGCTTTTCACCAACTCGTTTAGAGAAGTAGAGCTCTCTACTACGCATAAGAACAGCATTTGTTCATCAAATATTTGTCAAGAGCCCACTGTGTGAAAGGCCTTATGTTGAGCACAGCACTGATTATTCACTTTAGTTTAAATGAAAGGGCATGAGTCAATGGCTGCTGAATATCACGTACGTTGCCAAACTACTTGTTAATATTCAAGCAAAGAGCCCTTCCTGGAATGTCAGAGCTGAAGCACTCTCATAAAGCCATTCTCTACCCTAAGGTAAAACCATTCTGGCAAATTATAATCTGGCTCAGGGCTTTTCATTCAGACTCTGCTTTGTTTTTTTGTTTGTTTGTTTTTGTTTTTTGTTTTTGTTTTTGTTTTTGTTTGAGATGGAATCTCACTCTGTCTGTCACCCAGGCTGGAGTGCAGTGGTGTGATCTCGGCTCACTGCAACCTCCACCTCCCAGGTTCAAGTGATTCTTCTGCCTCAGCCTCCCAAGTAGCTGGGACTACAGGTGCATGCCACCACACCCGGCTAATTTTTGTATTTTTAGTAGAGATGGGGCTTCACCATATTGGCCAGGCTGGTCTCAAACTCCTGACCTTGTGATCCACCCGCCTCAGCCTCCCAAAGTGCTGGGATTACAGGCATGAGCCACCATGCCTGGCCCAGACTGTGCTCTTAGGAGCTCATAGAAACCATGATGGCTTGGATTCTCTGTAAGCACAGCTCCACTTTTTACCTACGCTTTATTGCATTTAAACAGTAGGTTTGCAACTAAACACACACACACACACACACACACAAGCATACACTCTATTTCCTAAAAAACATCTTTCAAAAATAAATTTCTGTAATTTTTTTCTAGAAACATTTTCCCCCTTTTAACATTAGGAAGATTTTTTATACCTCACCCAAATATTCACAGTACAACCTTAATATATGTGTTCTTTTTATGCTGTTGGTCATCATAATTTTTGATGTAGAAACTGTTTATATCCTTGAATGCAGCTAGTTATGAAGTCTTCCATTAACCTCACTTTGTCAGGTCAAATTCTTACAAATTCTGCTTTGGGTCTAACTTTTAGCCTTTTAGTCCTCTCTGGGCTCATTCCATATTAGGTTCTCCTCCTACCCAACCAGGTGAAATAAAAATCTGTTAGATTAGGAATCAGAAAAGCCGGGTTCCAGTGTCGGTTTTGATAGAGACTTGATGTGAAGCCTTTGGCAATTCAAAACCTCCGTGGCCTCAACTTTCCTACCTGCTAAGTAAAAGTGGAAGAGAGAAAGCTTCTGATTAGCTATGAATGCCAGACAGGCATATCCATAGACACTAGGTTCTAAGGCCAGTAACTTAGCCATCACCTACTTAATACCAAAATTCCTTTAGAAAAAGCCAGTGTCTCTATGTTCAAACAAGACTTCAAAATTTTCACCCCTAGAAGAGAAAGAGGTTGATTGGTTTCAAGTTGGTTTCAAGTCACATTTGGGAATATAGAACTTACTGACCTCCTTCTCTAAATCTGTTTGAAAAAAATTACAAGGCCATTCGAGAACCAGGATAGTACTCCATAGGTTATAAATACTCAATAAATATTTGCTCAAGGAGTGACGAACCCAAGAGAGGGAGAGAAACAAGGGAATGCTAGCAAAAAGTGAGGTAGCTGATGTGATAGATGTCCTGTCCATTGATGTATCACAATCACTTAGAAGGTGCCCTACGGAATGAATAAGAAAATAAATAAAACACTAGGTTAGATTTTAGATTTATAGTTCTAGAACTTTCCAGTTTTATTGGTGATAGGCCTTGCTTCTACTCTTCCTTTTCATGACCCAGAATCAGAGTCACAAATTTTCCAGATAAATAGAATTACACCAAAACAAAACAACACAAGAACATCTAATTCTCTGATCTAAATAATAACTACCTGGGAGTACTACACAACTTATAGTGGCAAATGTGTGTTATCTGGACTAGGACCCCATGCTATGGTCTGAATGCTTTTTCTCCTCAAAATTCATATGTTGAAATTCTAACCCCCAAGGTGATATTAAAAGGTGGGGCTTTTGGGGAGTGATTAGGTCATGGGGTAAATCCCTCACATATGGGATCATATGCCTTTTTAAAAGAGGTACCTGAGAGCTGCCTTGTCCCTTCCACCATGCCAAGACAAAGTAAGAAAGTGCCATTCTATATACCAGGAAGCAAGAACCTCACCAGTCAATATATGTACAGGCACCTTGATCTTGCACTTTCTAGCTTCCAGAATTGTGAGAAATAAATTTCTGTTGTTTATAAGCCACCAAGATTTCAGTATTTTTGTTATAGCAGCCCAAATGGATTAAGACAGTCCTGTTTACACTGCCATATACCTAAATGAAACCAGATATTCAGAAGTTTTAAAGACAAGATCCCCCATTGTCTCCTCAAAACAGTACAATATAAAACATTACCACTAATACAGACAGGTGTAAGAAATCAGCACAGAGCTATGCTTTGGCATAAAAGATCTGATTTTCAGTAAGTGCGAGGTAAACCAAACTTTTCAATTTGCCATAATAAAAAGAGGCCCAATCCTAGCTTTTAAATGCATGGCAAGGTTTATAATTCCTTCTAAATAAGTTTAACCCCTGGCTGAGGTTGTCAAAGATAATTTATATGAAACTCCCCAAGGATGAACATCTACTTCCATAGAACTTATTACTTAGCTTAATAAAAGGATATGCTGCCATTTGCAACAACACAAATAAACCTAGAAGGCATTATGCTAAGTGAAATAAGCTACACACAGAAAGAAAGATGTTTCATTACCACACTTATGTGTGGAATTTTTTAAAAATGTGAATACACAGAAACAGTTGAAGGGTGTTTGCCAGGGGTAAGTGGGTGGAGGGTGAGGCAATGGGGAGATGTAGGTCAAAGAGTACAAACACGCAACTATGTAGTATATGTAAGTCTAGAGACCTAATGAATAATAGTAGAATTATAGTAAATACTGCTGTATTGTATATTAGAAATTTGCTAGGAGAGTAGATTTTAGGAGTTATTACCAAAAAAAAGAGAGGGGAAGAGAGAGAAATAACTAAGGAAAGTGATGAATAAGTTAATTTACTTACCTGTAGTAATCATTTCACTATGTGTGTGTATATATACACATATATATGCATACATGTATAATGCATATATATGCATACATGTATAATGCATATATATGCATACATATATAATGCATATGTATAATGCATATATATGCATACATGTATAATGCATATATATGCATACATGTATAATGCATATATGTGCATACATGTATAATGCATATATGTGCATACATGTATAATGCATATATATGCATACATGTATAATGCATATATAAAAGTCATGTTGTATGTGTATAAATATATACAATTAAAAAGTAAAGTACATGCATAAAAATGTACATTTTTAGGAACAAATATTATGGTATTTGTCTTTGTAAATATTAAGCCATGATCATTTTGAGGATGTGTTATACTGACCTCTTAGAAACCTATGATCAGGTAGACACAAGTACACAGCAGGACAGGCATTTGCTAACTGGTAATTATAGAATTGCTACAGGGCTGGGTTAGGATACTGTAATGAAGTTACTGCCTGACTTTTATTTGAAGTCTGCTACACATTGAAAAATGTTACAGCGAGTAGTACAAAGAGCTGTGTCAGCCTGGAAATTGGAAACAAGGCTTTTCATTAGAGTCCTGGTGTGACCAGGAGGCATCTTGATTGGTACCTTTTAAAAACAGTACTTTTGTCCACAACCTAAAATACCATTTTCTTTATTTTTCCAATGTCATTAAAGTAGGTCAATCTAAGTGACAGTAGGATCGTGAAGCACTTCTGCACTGTCTTCCACTATGGGATAACTGAAGAGTCATCACTGGGCCATGTTTTGATAGGCATGAATGTCTCATGGCAGCATGTCTGGTGCATGGCTCCATCGTGGCCAGCACCTTTAGCATGATGGCCTGCTTTAGTTATCCTGAGAATCCACACAGCCCTTGTGAATTCTTTTTCCTCACTTGCTACTGTTTAGTACAACACAGGTATGAAACATGATAAGGCCAAATATATAAGTACAGAAGAGGAATAGAGTAGAAAAGCCAAGAAAGTAGGTTATAAGTCTATAAAGAAATGCAACTTCCACCAACACTTGTGTGACCTTGTTAAAACTGAAAGAAGACTTTGGGCACTAACCAAAGATGTTAAATAGCCATAGAACAAATTGGCCACATTTCAGTGGAGATGGAAAAGGAGAACTTCAGAGACCAATCCCTCCAAAGCACAATATTCTGTAATTAGGATACGTGAAAAAAAGACATTCTGAAGTTACAGAGCTACTCTTTGTTATGTCTGTTAATGTCTCCAGGATGACCATGAGGGTTAGAAGCACTTTGAAGGTATCAAACCCATTTTTATTTCTTGGCGCTTGTTACCTATCTGCTATGCTTATCTCTACTTTAGCTTAATAGAAATTCACATCCATCTAGATATGAAAAAAAGATACAGCCAAGCTATAGCAAAGCAATATTCAGTGTCTGGGCACTGGAGCCAGACTGCTTGGGTTTGAATCCCTGCTTTTCCACTTACTGGCTATGTGGTCTTAAATACATTATTTAAATTTCCTGAAGCTTCAGTTTCTTCATCTATAAAACCTTCCCCATATGATGCAGTAGAGTGTTTCGCACCTCAAGTGTTAGCTATTGCTGTCTTTCATGAAATGTTCTCACTGTGTGCAGACGTTCCTTTCCAAAGACTCTGAAAAGTAACTAAATCAAAGCTGAGAAGGGTTTAGATATAGTCTGCTTCCCTCACATTGTGAAAGTGAGACTAAATGTAATCTAGTATTTTTTTTAATTTTAGCTATTTAGAACTAAGACAAAAAAAGAAAGAGAAAATAGAGGACTTTATGAGCAGGTAAAATGTGATTTTCCCCACACTAAGGAAAAGAGAATTTGAAGTCAGGAGAAGCTGAGTTCCTGTCACTCAGCATTATTAACTCTTTCAGACTGTTATAGGCAAACCACTAGATTCTGGAACACAAGGCCATTTGAAAGCAGAAAAAGCTTCATGTTCACCTTAAAGGGGTGTTATGAGAATAAAATGAGGTATATGACAATTATCAGAAGGTACAGTGCTTTAAAAACTCACAGTAGAAATATTATGAAAGCCATCCTTTGATGATTACACAAATAAAAGAATAAAACTTCACCAGCAGTTTCAGAAGGGAAGATATATAAATTTGCCAGGTGAATGAAGAGACCCTGCTTGTTTCCTGTGCTTATCATTTGCAAGTCCTCTTGGATTAGAAAATTTTTTATTCTTTTGAGCCACATGGAGTATCACTTAGACATTAATACTATGCAAATTTGATCTCAGCTAGGTGTGCCACAGTAATTGCCATAGTTGTAGATTTCTGGCATTTTGTACAAAATGATTACTGCTTGCTTGATTCCATAATTATATGTTTTCCATATTGTAATTTCAGTTTACTGAGTAAAATTGTACATAAAAACACACCTAGTGAGTTCTTCCTTCAAGAAAAACAGACCAAGAAAGAACAACAAAAACTCAGAAGATTTCTATGGACCTCTGAGGTGGTAACAAGAGAATTCAAAGCACAAGGGTTTTGCCTTTCTGTAAATGACTGGCTTGGCACAGTGATTCTTACCCTGGTGTCCTGGAAATTTAATGAAGCTTCCCAGGTTTCTCAAGTACTCCCAGTGCTTACTTGTGGGTATGCACAGGCCACAGTGCCCTGGTTGGGGGAACCTTGGAAGACAAGAAGAATAACGATACTGGGAAATAAACAAGAAGGAATCAATAAATAATCTGAGGATAGCTTTAGGTTATTTGAGACTATCAAACTATTTGATTAAAACATAATACTTCAACCTTCTTATTGAGACACACAATATTAGAATTTAGCTCATCTTTTAAAATTAAAAATAAACGTATAAGAGAAAATGAAGTTCTGTGGGAACCAAATCAATGAGCCGTCCTGCTATATACATGCTTACTACTATACATGTTTAGATACATATATAATAATATTTTGTTAGGGAGCTCAGTATTTGCCACAGTCAGTAAACTGGTTGACTCCACTATTTACCCTGATCATCAGTATATACTGAGCATATTATTCCCCTTTAATAACTGATTGTGGGTTTTGAAATACTGACTGAATCTCTGTCATTTTTTATTCTTCACATAAAAATCTCTGGATGGTAGTGCAGTCAGTGAACTTCTTGTATTTACTACCTACTACTTGACAAAGCTACCAATATTGCAGTTTAAGGCAGACAGTGGTTGTCAGTCATTTACCAGCTATTGAGGTTTTCTACTGCTGGTTCTGGTGGACATTAGGGATCCCTTGGTTCAGTCATTACCACCCCAAATCCAAAACCCACTGCTTCCATCAGTTTCCCAAGAGAAAAGACACAGGATCTGAACCAGCCAAATGTACAGCCATGACCACACTAAGCCTTCTGTTCTAACACTCATCTGCTCCCCTATCTACCTAGGCTGAACAACACAGAAATCAGAGCCCTGAGACTTGACCCAGAAACAGTCAAGCAGCCATTCTTGCTTTCTTTCCACACAAGTCCTCACCTTGGCCCATGTTAGTCCTCTATAAAGCCCTGCCTGGCAAAGGACACACTCAGACCTTTACTTACCAGTGCAACAGATAGAGAAGGTTTAAAAAAGTGAGAGCAGGGAGGAAAAGAAGAATAGCCATTTATTACCTTCTCAAAAAGGTGCAGCCCTCTAGGATGGTGGCCTCTGGCATGTGTCCTTGTTGGGGCCGTGTAATTTGTAGGGGACTCAGGCTCTTTGCTTCACTGTACTGAGTTTTCATTAATCACTTAGTAAGTGTAGGTACTAAGATTTGAATCTATGAATACTGGTCAACCACATACGAGCTATGTGACTTTTTTAAAATCTTTCAGCACCTTTCTTCTTCTTCACCACATACCAGCTGTGTGACTTTTTAAACAACATTCAGCATGTTTGTGTTTTAGTTTCTTCACCTATAAAATGAGGACAATGATAGCATACCTACTTCATGGGGTTGTTGAGCAGAATCAATAAAATAATGCAGCTAAAGGCACTTAACACTTAGCAGAGTGCCTGAAAGACAGTAAGCACTTGACTAATCTCAATGCTGCTGATGCTTCTTAATAATGACATTGAGTGCCTACTACCATATGCCAAGTACTGTGCAATGCATTTGGGATTCCTAGGCAACAGAAAAGAATCCCAGCTTCTCAAGAGGTCATAGGCTGCAGCTGGATTCTGCAACCATTTTCTGTTAAAGGTCAGATAGTAAATACTTGGGCTTTGCTTGCCATATAGTCTCTGTTCCAACTACTCCACTCTTCCATTGCCACACAAAAGAAGATACAGGCAATAAATAAACAGATGCATGGAGCTGTGTTATCAATAAAACTTTATTTATTAAAAAAAAGAAGTGGGCAGGATTTGGCCTGAAGGATTTCTTATGTCAACTCATGGTCTGCAGGGAAGACACACAAAAATACAAGACAACAAAGTTATGGCTATGATGCAAATATGCAAAAGATTCAATGAGCATATAAGGAGAATGATATCTCATCTAGCTTCTATCATGAGTTATTCATACCATTGGTTATTAGCACTTCCTGCAAGGTGGCAGAAAAAAAAGAAATTTAATTGGAACCAAACAAATCTAAAATTAACAAATTTGCTAAGAGTTTCAATGTTTTGAGCTTGCTATGTCCTATAACATCCTTGGTTTCAGAAAGCTAAGCTACATAAACATGCTTTATTGTCATGTCATTTCACTCATTGGGTAGCCTATATTCTCTAGAAAGACTGAAGATAAGCATCATCATAAATTCAGTGTGGCCCAATTCCTAACATTCAGTCTGTTCCTAGTGGATAAAGACAGTAAGGTCTCACGAACTCACTATCATAGAGCATTTCAACAAATTACAGACCTGAGTTTTGGCTCTAGTAGGATCTAACTTAGGAATCATAATATGTTCAGGAAGAAATGTAGTAACAGCGCCAGACAGTATAAAAACATTTTTGAAGATGCTTATATACAAAACCTTTTATTTTTTTAGGTGAACATCTTTAGCTCATTAAAATGAGTATCTCAGAGAGAATAAGATTTGGAACACAATTCACAATGGTAAATACAATTGCTGACTGCTTTTAGTTTTGTATAATTGTACTGCAAAATAGTTTGTTCCAGCAGCTGTCAGAATTGTCTAAAGTGTGGGCATACGAGATGTTTGCTTAATGCTCTGTGCATACGACCCAGATGCTCCATCCTGCACTCAAGCTGTCTGCATCCCTAGTGCCCTAACCCTGAGCCTAAATAGTACAGGAACAAAAGTCAAAACTATCTCATGCTGCAAAGAAAATAATATATGATATTTATGCCTCATTATGTGCTTTCCTGTATCCTCCAGATAAAACTGCAGCTTCTCCAGAAAGGTAGAGTCAGTTCCTTATAACCCAGAAGCTGTTTGTCCAATCTCAGATGAAACTGCACATGTGCTTTTCTTCTTTCTCCTCTCACCTCTGTCTGGGAGGCCTGGTCAACTTACTGCTACTTAATGCCTTTCATTTAAGTGGAGACTAGGGAAATTAAATAAAATTAAACCACAATCAGTCTCATTTTAGCTGCTTATTAACCACTCTAATAAAGGTTGATAACACATAAGATAGAAATTACTACCTAAATGAACATGCTTAAAGCCTCCAGACTCCTTTCCCATGTTAGTTCAGTATCTCATGAACTGGATTAAAAACACTCACTCTGCAGAATTTTCAGGAAGTATGTGGGAGCTTGGATGATCACTTAAATCTTCTTGGTAAACATACATCCTAAGTTTTTTATACTTCATGCCTATAATACCATGTTACCCAGTGGGGCTCAAAAATACCCATTGCTAAGGGGTAGGAACTTGTTACAATCTCCTAATGGTTAAGAAAAGAGAAAAAAAGTGTACAATTTCATATTTTTTCATGTTCCAATACTTCCTCAGAGAGAGGTCAGCATGGCTAATAAACAATTTTTGAAAGGTAACAATTTAAATGTCATTCTCTCATTGTAAAATAGTGCTTCTTATTTTGTCTTCTGCTACTAACCTTCTTCAGACCCATCATAACCCCAGGAAAAATGATAATGATCATTTCTAAATCTGGTAAAAATATTGTGCTAAAGCATGCCAACCCAGTTTCCTGAAGGGCTAAATTGATTTTTAAGGTATACCATAGACATGGCAGAGAGCACATGAAATTGGTTAGATATGTAAGAACATTTAGAAATTAGAAAACCTATCAAGTTTATCCAATTCTTTCTCCTGGGATTGTTTCCTTTTCTAAATATTGTTACTGCTTGAGTTCACAATTTCATATTCTCTGCTTCCTTCTGCTTTGCTTCCACCACCAAATCTAACAGATAATAACATTCTTCTTGCTAACAGGAAAAAAAATACATTGAAATTAGGATGCAGAGATATATCAAGTCTGTTGATAGAAATCCTCCTACTAAATAATGATGCCAATAACTACTCATTGAATCTAAGCCCTGAAAAATGCTGGAAATGATTTTTTTCTATGTTAATTCTGCAGACTATGTTGACAGGCATTTAATTTCTTATGCTAAAACAATCCCTCATCCACATCTCTGTACCACCAACACTGAAAATTAAAATTCCAGTTCCTAGCTCATCTTGGCTGTCTTACTGTGTACCTTTGCAGGAGGGGCCCTTGGCTTTATTCCCACAGCGGGGAGACCTCCTGGCACAATCCTAACTAGAAATGACATCCTGCTGCCCTGCATCTGAAGACAATGATCAGCCAACAGAAGCACAGAAAAGAACAGCACTCCCTAGGCAGGAGATGCTTTTTTTATTCACAGGAGGCAAGGAATTCAATCTGAGGTTTGTTGCCACTGGGAGGATTCAATAAACAAACAAAACAAAACAGAAACACAAGATAGAAACAAATACCCGTATGTGACTCAAATTCACTTTAACCATGCCACTCATATTTCTGACTTACACTGTGAGTTGCACATTTGTACCATTCAGTGAGAAAGGCAAAATGGATGACAGTCAAATCTGTGGGAGAAGAGGATGAATTTTTCTTTGATTAGAGTAAAATACAAGCACCTGTGAGACAACAAAATCAAGATCTACAAGTGGTCATTTGCTAAATGGGCTAGTGTCCAGGTGTGAAGATTCAGATGAAAACAAAATTTTAAACATCAGATGTATAAGGAGCTATATAGCATATATGAAACTAGGGACTGCAGACATGTTGGGATGGTTTTGTTTACTCAGGGAGGCTGGGTGAAGTGAGAACAGGATAGAAAAGGAGAATACAAACAGGAGAGGAAGAGGGAGACTAGAGCAGTATGCTGAGAAACAACAACATTGGAAGGATTAGCAGAGGAGGGAGAAACATGCTAAGGATCAAAGAAAGAGGTACCAGAGAGAAGTGGTAGGAAAGCCAGGCAGTATGGTATCCCAGGAGCCTGGGAAGGGGCTTTTTCAAGGAGAAACTAGTCAGCCTTGTCGCATTGCTGCTGAGAGGTCAAATAAGATAAAAGCTAACTCTCTACTGAATTTATCAACAGAGGTCATCATTGACTTTGGCAAGAGACATTTCAATTAACTTGTAGGAGCAGGAGTCATATTTCAGGGGGTTGAGGTGTGAATGAGAGATAAGGAGACATCAGGTACCAGGAGCTATTTCCCCTCATACTCTGTTGGCTCTTGGGTGCCTAATACATATAGAAGCACATACTGAATGACGAACAAATACTACTTAGGATAATATTATATCGTGTTTTAGGTTATTACATGTGTGTTATATAATTTCTAGTTATAACAAATACAGAGTCAATGAAAAAACCTCAAAAGAAAAGATAGATTTCCTGGTGAATGTCTGATTAATCATAACCCTGGATAAATACATTTTAAAAATAACCAATCACATTTCCAAAGTTCCTACAAGGCTACAGAAGTAAAGGAGCAGAAGGGAGAAGAATGAGGAACTGAGAAAGCTAATTTCTTCCTCCCTCTAGAAAACTAATAGGCTCTCCTCCCCTCTATGCCTGGTTGGAGATGGGGGGTAGATGAGACACTCAAATCCCCTGAACATCCCATCTTAATCTGGAATCTGGATGCATTGACTCAGGTTAGGGCCTAGGGTTTCTAACTCATTGGCATCACATTCTGAAGGGTCTCCAGCCTTGTCATTCTTAGATACATGAAAAGAAGCCCGGATCTATGGAATCTCCTCCTACTAATTACAATGATTTATGCCTTCTGGAAAGGTCCCAATTTGAAAAGGCATAAGATAAAGGAAGTAAACACACACCAACCTGGGATAGTACATAAAATACTCTTTGGTGTTGTTTTGTTTTGTTTGAGACAGGATCTCCTTCTCTCGCCCAGGCTGGAGTGCAGTGGCGTAATCTCGGCTCACTTCAGCCTCTGCTTCCCGGGCTCAGGTAATCCTCCTACCTCAGCCTCCCAAGTAGCTGGGACTACAGATGCACACCACCACAGTCAGCCAATTCTTTTGTACTTTTAGTAGAGATGGGGTTTCACCTTGTTGTCCAGGCTGGTCTTAAACTCCTGGGCTCAGGTGATCCACCAGCCTCAGCCTCCCAAAGTGCTGGGATTACAGGCGTGAGCCACTGTGCCCAGCCTAACACTCTATTTTAAAAAGCTTCCCTTTGCTTATCTGTAGTAGGATAGAAGACTATTTATTCTGTCATCATTTACATCTCTACAGTCTTTACGGCTGCCCCTGCCTAATATTCCCACTTATGTGGGTACAAAGAGAGACATTTGTACATTCAAACATACTGGACTGGGATCCATATAAATCTATGTATTTCTGTCCATATGGATGATCTACTTCCGTCTCACCAACTGGCAATACTGTCTACATGAGACCAAGCACCGTGATGGTGAATGGGAGATTCAGTCAACCACCCAGATGCTTTGTTTGCATCCTGAGAATCAGCAAGCATCTGGACTGTCAGCTGAACCCTGCTCTTCTCCATCTTGCTGCTGGTTGCTATGCAAGCACAGCCCCTGTCTGTTTTGAAACAAAGCTAATGAGTCTCATTTTCTTCATTTGTCTGTGAAAATGTGACACTAGGCAAATTGGAATACAGTTCACAAAAACAAGGACAGGTTTTGTTTTGTTATTTTTCTAGTTCTGCCCATCACACTATTCTCCTACCCCTAGACAGGATCATCATCACTACAAAACAATCCCTTCCATGTTAGGAGAGTGTGTGGGTTTTTCACAATAAATTTGTGAGGGAGAATGGCAGGAATTATACACTTACTGATGTAAGATCTTAGGGTCGGAGGACTTAACTGAGTAACCTGAAATCACATACCTGGTGATCTGCCCCTCTGGTGAGGGGCAGAATTGAAGTAACAACACAAGAAAATCAGAAAATGACCAGCTGTTATTTCTTTTCCCCATCACAACAAAAAAATCCCAGCATTTCAGGAAGGGAACGTTGAGAGAATCTTTCTGATGAAGATTTACTTTTTAGTTCACAAGAAAGAAGAGAACTCTTTGAGATATGTTTAGATCAAGGACCAACAGTTTAAATTTATACCGCTATTATTTATATTCATAAAATATAGGAGATCCCAACTTATAATATAGAAATTGTTAGGTGAAGGTACATCAACAAGTTGAAATATTTAGAGCCTCTAAAATTAAGGATATGACATTTATTTTCAATAATATGAAGAATTACGTAAATTATGTTAAGTGATGCAGTAATATGTGAAATATTTTGGGTATGCTTCCAAATATGCAGGAAATATAGATACCTAGGAAAAAGGAGGGAAGAAAATATATCAAAATACTAACAGCAGTTAAATCTAGGTGATGGTATTATGAGTCACATTTATCTTTCTTTTTACACTTTTTGCCTTTTGCAAATTTTATGCAATAAATAATATAGTGCATGCCGTGGTGCTCCATCCAGATATCCCATCCCTTAATCCGCTTTCAGGACTGAAACACTGCTCCTTTTTCCATCACCTCCAGCTATTGGGAGACTAAAGTTGCTTCCTTCTTTTTTCTTTTAAGACATAGTCTTGCTCTCTCACCCAGAAGTGCAGTGGTGTGATCACAGCTCACTTCAGCCTCAACCTCCCAGGTTCAAACAATCCCCCAACCTCAGCCTACTGAGTAGCCAAGACCACAGGCACACTCCACCACGCCCAGCTAATTTTTTGTTTTTTAGAGATGGAGTCTTGCTATGTTGCCTATGCTGGAGTGCAATGGCATGATTATGGCTCACTGTAGCCTCAAACTCCTGGACTAGTGATCCTCCCACTTCAGCCTCCCCAGTAGCTAGAACTACAGGCATGTGCCACCAAGCCTAGCTAATTATTTTATTTTATTTTTATCTTTATTTATAGAGATAGAGTCTTATGTTTTCTGGGTTGGTCTTGAACTCCTGGGTTCAAGCAATCCTCCCATATCAGCCTCCCAAATTGCTGGAATTACAGGTGTGGACCACCATGCCTGGCCTCTAAAGTTGCCTCCGTCTTAAGGGCAGTTGACATTCAATGGCCAACCTGTTTAGATGTATATAGGTCCAGACCCTCATCATGGCTCAACTAAAGGGCCATCACAGCTCCAGAGCTCCCTCTGAAATCACCTGGGACCTTTATGCAAGGCCTCTCATTTTATCTTCTCTCTACACAATCTTTTTTCCTTCAACCCAAAATGGGTATTGACCCCAGGAACATACACTTATAAAGTTTCTGCATGCAGATCTCCTTCTCAGCCTCTGTTTTTTAGGGGAATCCATTCTGTAACAATTGGTGCCAGGAGTGATTCAAGGAAAACAACTATAAAATGACATTTTGCTGCTGAATCACCTACCGACCAATCAACCATGAAAAGTTCATCACTGGTGGTAAGTGAAATACTGACAGCTCCTAACCTGGAGTGTTGGGACAAGTATTAAAACTTTCGCTGAGCATGAACAGAGAGAGGATAGTGGTGGAAGTGACTACACTTATGGGTGTGGTATCTTCAGCTTTAAGAAATATGAAAGATAATAATTATAAAGACTATGAAACTGGATTGTTGCTGCTGGGGTTAGGAGCCTGTCATTGACCACCTCATGGTTGCACTATAGATACATGAGTTGAGTAGTATAGTGGCAAGGATAGAGGCTATGCATGGGCCAGCAGCATGAGCTCCCACTCACTAAGACTGATCTAACTACTGCTAATGCCACATGTCCAACTTGCTAACAACAGAGATCAAATCTTAGCTGCTCAAATGGCTCTACCCCTCAAGAAGACTGCAAAGCTATTTGTTGGCAAGTTGATCAGATTAGGCTGTTTTTGTCTTGAAAGGGGCAGCAACTCAACTTTAATAGAATCAGCATACGTTTGGTGTATGGGTTTTACTTTTCTACCTGCAGAACCCAACCTAGCCTCCCTCTGAGTTTACACAGTGTTTCATCCACTGACACAGGATTTCTCATGCTTTGCAGTGGCCATACGGCAAGGCGGTCCACTGGAGCTATCACTTACTACACCACCTGCAAGCTGCTGTCCCAGTGGAGCAAAGGAAAGGCCTGATAAAGCAACAGCTGGGGCACCTGCTTGCAAATGATGCCCTGGAAAGATGAAGAATCTTTCCCCAGAATGTTGTATCACACTAAATCAATGACTTTTAATGGTGCTATTTTCCCAATGGGTACACCACATGGGTCCAGGAACAAAAGGGTTGAAACACAAGTGGCCCAGCTTACCCTCACTGTCAATAAGCCATTTGAAAAATCCACAGTTTCTTTTCTCTTAATTTTGTACTCTACAGGTTTAGAGATCCTAGCTCCCAGATGGGAATGCTTCCACCACAGGACACAGCAAGAGTGCCTTTGAACTTTAATCTCTAGAAATGCTGCCCATTCATTTTAAGCTTCATGCCACAAACGAAGGCATGGAAGAACATGTGAGGCATCCAAGTGATATTTTCAGTATATCTTGGTACTCCCTGGCACAATTTTGCTTGAAAATGGATAAATTCAGCAGCCGCATATGCAAAGAACATGGTGAACAGGGGCTCAGGACCCTCAGAGATGAGGATCTCAGTCATCCAAGCAAATGTGTTATCTAGACCAGCAGAGGTGAGGAGGAGGTAGGGATGGTTAATGAGTACCAAAAACATAAAAAGAATGAATAAGACCAAATGTTTGATAGCACAACAGGGTGACTATAGTCAATAATAATTATACATTTTAAAATAATTTCAAGAGTGTAATTGGATTGTTTGTAACTCAAAGCATAAATACTTGAGGGAACAGATTTAAAAAATAGCCTAGCAGAGGTGCTAGCAGACAAAGGTAAGTGGAATCTAGAGTGTGTAATAGAAGAGAGATGTTAAATAGTAGCCTTGAGAAGCAGCTAGAACTGGAATTCATTCCACTAACCTCCCTTCCTGTTTTTTTTGTTTTGTTTTGCTTTGCTTTGCTTTTTGATACGGGGTCTCCTTCTATCACCCAGGGTGAGTGCAGTGTCATAATCATCACAGCTCACTGTACCCTCAAACTCTCAGGCTCAAGTGATCCTCCTTTCTCAGGCTCCTGAGTAGCTAAGACCACAGACACATGTCACCATGCCTGGCTAATTGTTTTTTTGTAGAGTTGGGGTCTCCCTGTGTTACCCAGGCTGATCTTTATCTCCTAGGCTCAAGCAATCCACCTGCCTCGGCCTCCCAAAGTGCTGCAATCACAGCCATGAGCCACCATGTCTGGTCTAACCTCCATCTTACAATTTTTCTAGGAAAAGAAGCTCTTGAGATCAAGAAGGAGCTACTCCTGGAGCTTATTATACAAAGCATGTGGATCTGAGCAGTGCAAACGGCGGACTATTGTGAGTAGCAAGGTGTCCTTCCCAAATCAACACTTTGGGACTCAAACACTCATTTCCCCACCTTCTGCAATTGTTGGTAGCTGATGGCTCTCAGCTGAATTTATCTCTGAGACACATCATGGGCTGAAGAAGGCTACCTCAGGTAAAGAGACCGTCCATGTCCTGGGTCACAATACCCACACTCCATTTCTGGAGGCAGCTAATATCCACATGTTAGTCAATATAGGTGTCTACAGGTCTAGCTCTCTTGCCTCTATGTGGTCAACTCCACAGTGCCATTCCACTTCAGATCTTCCCATGGGATCAACAGAGGCCCTCATTGTGACTACAGTGCAATCCAATTTCTCCCTCTATTTAGTCCTACTTTCCTCATTGCCTCATAGGTGTGGTTTCCAAGAGCACTCCCAATAAACTCCCTGTGCAAAAAATCTCGATCTGAATATTTTTTCCCAGGGAAACCAACCTACAACATAGAGTATTAGTTTAGAAAAATATAAATTTTTCAGAAGTATGCTGCTGTATCTATCCTCCTCCTCTGTATGCAAAACATCCTTACCAAAAATACTTCCAGTCCCAGGCCTACTTCAGGGCTGAACATAAAGGAAAGAAATAGAGCAAGGTTAGCTGCTTCAAGTTAAGTGAATATCTTCCGAGGCAGATGCCGAAAGCCAAAGGAATCATCTAAAGTTTGGAAAACAATGAAAATAACACTCATAGTAGGAAAAAATAATCTGTGAAATATGCACAACAGTGGAGATTAACTGGAGACCTATTTTGTTTATGCTAACGACTTTATTGCACAATAGCCTCTTCACTTCCTAATACTGTCAAGCCAAGAAAGAACAGGGAGGGGTATGGTCAGAACAAGCTCACTGGTAGAACAGGTGGGTAAGCAGATAGCACAGTAAGCAGGGGCTAACAGAAGCAGGTGTCTTTTCTTTGAATTCTGACCTTATGTTTCTTCAAGCCAGTTTTCATTTTGTGGATTTGCAAATTTTATTTATATCTTTAGTGAATTTTAAATATTATTTTCAGATTCCAACTAAGTTAAAGTAGCGTTTTATCTAGCAGCAATCTAATGCTAATCTTCTCTACTGAAGTGTAATTATTTTTCATATTTTAATTTGGTTCTTAGTACTAAAAATTTATGACAAACATTTGACATTTAGAGTATTTTAAGGGAAACTTTTTAAAAATTTGACATGAGGTAAGTCAATCCAAAGATGCAAAGTAGGCAGTGGGATGTAGTGGGGACCTCCTAAGACTGGAGCACAAAGATTCGTGTTGATGTCCAGCTCTGAAGCCCTTGGGCAAGGCACTTCACCTCTCTAGACCTTGGCCTCCACATCTATGAACCAAATGAGTAGGACTGGATTATGAGTTCCTTCTCATAAAAATGCTATGTGTGTGGTATTATTTTATAACTAGAAGATTCTGCCAGAAAAGCTCAAGAAACTTAGTTTGTCTAATTTCAACCCTTAATTATTTTCTTTTGAGAAGAGATCATTGAAAAGAAAATGAATTTACGTAACACATGACATATGGAACATTTAAGCTAAAAATTAAGGAGACCACTTTCGGAGGCCAAAATGGAAGGATCTCTTAAGGCCAGGAGTTTGAGACTGGTTAGACTGGGCAACATAGCAAGACCACTTTTCTACAAAAAGAAACACATGAATAAATAAATAAATTGGAGAGATAATATTTTGGGAGAATTTATAGATACTTACATCTTCAAATGCATAAGCTTGGTAAAGACCAGCAATAACATGGGTTTCTATTGACCTCTTCTAAGACCAACATGTTGTGCAGAGTACCTTTTTTTTTTTGACAAAGGCCAAACAGCTGCAGGGACCAGGTGTGCCTCAAATGCCTGGGGTTAGAGCATAATAATCTGCTTCCTGGGGTTGCTGTTACCAAAATATAAGCCTCACAGATTCATAGCCTTAGATTTCCACTATTTCCAGCCTCCTTCCTTCTATCTACTTACTGGACACACAGCCCTGAAGTTCAATGACAAGGGGCACAGACATTAAAGAAGAAAGCAAGGGAAGATTCTCTGGATAAGTGAAGAGATTTCAGGTGTCAGAGAATTTACAATCCGAGGCTCTTGGACATCTCACTTAGGAAGTGTGTGGTTGACTTTCAGGGTAGCTTCAAATAACAATAAGCCCAAGACCCATGAAAGATTTTTTTTAGTGGTGTGTTAGCAAAGATGCTTTCTTTTCTCATATCCTACCCCATAATTTTTAAAATGTATCACATTTCCAACTAAAAATTGACAAGATATGAACCATCCGCTCTCAGTCTCTTCCCCTACTCAAATCTCCCCCTTAAATCCATTCACTGGAAATTCTCAAATATATAACACATTTATGTATCTAACTGAGGACTCAAAGACCTTTGCACACTTTAACATTAATCAAAGGGCTTAAAAGGCAACTAGATGAGACCCCATGGGGTAGAAAATATTTACAAACCTCATTTTTTAGTGTTGTGAGATCTCTGGAATTACATCACAGAGACAGTCACCAATTAAACTTATAAACCATCTTTGTAAGTTTATATCCCTTCTGTATTTTTTTCAATCATAATGCAAGTTTTGTTCTTTATATTTAAGATGTTTTTAGAATCTAGCAAACTTACAAAAGAAACCTGTTTCCCATTTGCTGTTTATAGGACATTGTACAAAGAGGTTTCTGTAGAGATATACTGAATGTGGTGGATCACAGAATTGAGAAGAGAACACAAGGAAATTGATATGTTGGATAAAACAATAAAATACTGGTAGACAATCTATCATGTAGACACAAAATTTAACAGATCTGTAAAGAGAACTAAAAATGAAGCCGTGGAATAATGTAAAGAAATAATTCAGCTGCGTGATAGTCCTCACAATTTTTTAAGTTGACTGTGAATATATGAAAGGGGAACGGTGACAGAAAAGAATACCAAAATTTCCCTCAAATAAGCATTAATAAATTGGCTATTTAGGGAAATTTTTAGATCAGAAAAGTAGTGATTGTTTAAATCCCCTAACAGTATCAGAAGCAATGACAAAAGAGCTCAAGCTTCAAATTTACTATAAATACCACCTGCTACTCATAACGAGCCGTTCTACAGTAAATAGCATTTAGTGTTTATATACAAAAATGCCTCTATTTTTCATCTGCTCAAAGCAGGGCCAAAGTAATCATTGCCTGAGGGTGGCCAAATTGTATGGCCTCTAGAGCCAGCCATCACATCCAGGCTACCTCCGTGGCTGAAATTTGGGGCAGAACCAACAGAATATAACAACGCTCAGTTTCTATGCCCAGTACCTTTTATGAGTAGCAAAGCTCTATTCAAACAAATGCATGGCAGCAACTTGACCAACAAAGTCCTTGACAGACTCACCTCCAATGTGTAATTCTGTCAATTAGCTGTGAAGCCTCTAACTAAATCTATAAAAATAAATCATTCTCATACCTAAGAAAAGAAGGTGATATTATAGATTAACTTTCTGAAGTATACATTTATTTAAACCTAGCAGGAGATTTTGCTGAAAGCAAACTGTTAGCATAATTATATTTTTAATGTCTGAAGATATGCTCTCATTGGTGTTACCTAAATTGTATTCTACTAAACAGATGTTCCACAGGAGAAAAAAGTGTTTTCATGGTTAAATAAGTTTGGGATATAGCCCCCACTAGGATATTCACCACCATTATTAGAATATAAATTATCTCTAGAGAAGATTTCATTGTTTTAAAACAGTATTTTTTAACCAAGATATTTGCAAACTAATTTATCCCACTGAGTTTTTCACATCTGGAGATATTCATTTCGAAAAGCATGTTCTTTGGAAAACATGGCAATACAGCATTACTCACAGTAAACAGAAGATCTTTTTTCCTGAGGATAACTACATTTACTTCATTTTGTAAAAACATTTTTTATTTCAAGTTTAAAATGTTAACCTTCAATTTCCAAGTGCTTTATAATTTTATATAAAGGATTATGATAATAGATTCAAGTGAGAGGCCTCTATGCTAACCTGAAGCCAAAGAAACAGCTGGGAGAAATGAAGCTAAGGACTCTCAGCCCTTCACTCTAGAATTGATTCACCTTGTAGTGTTGCCAGATTCTAAACTGGATTTCCATAGTTTCAAGTAGAAAATGGAAGAACAATGCTATTCTATTAGGTTATAGTAAATCAATTCCAAATAATTTGCGAAAGACTAGAAGTCACTTTAAATAGTTGAAACCTCATAATGCTCATATTCATCAAGCGCTATTTGCCATAGCCAACATATGGAAATAACCTAAGTGTCAATAGATGAATATATAAAGAAAAGGTGGTGTGTGTATATTATACATACATACATATATTTCATTGCCTATATATACACAATGGAATGTTATTCAGTCATAAAAATGAAGGAAATTCTGCCGTTTGCAACAATATGGATGAATCTGGAGGACATTACGCTAAGTGAAACAAACCAAACACAAAAAGACAAATACTATATGATCTCACTCATATGTAGAATCTAAAAAAGGTGAACACATAGAATCAGAGAGTGGAACAGTGGTTGCAAGGAGCCGGAGGGTGTTGAAAGTAGGAAGATGCTTGTCATAAAATGAACGAGTTCTGGGGATTGAATGTATAGCATGAGTGGTGATAGATGTGGTCATTAGTTTGATTGTGACAATTTTTACACAACATATACGTATATCCAGTCATCACATTGTACATCTTGAATACCTAGAATCATTTTAAAATAAAATTTATTTTTAAAACCTGCTCTAGGGCCTTGCTGTTAGTAACAGAATGACTGCAATAATTTCTTTCATGAAACTTTCTATTTGCTCATTAAACACTGCCCATACACAAATTGATTTGAGAGGAAAGGGAAAAAAGATAAAATTTAGCTTTGTGATCAATTAATTTTCAAGTTCCAAATAACCAATTATTAATTTAATGGCTGAATGAATTTTATTTCTCTGGTTTATGCTTGGTTTATATTTGAAGGCACAGTATTTTTTAATAATATTTCTACAAAGAAGGAAGGAATGGGAATTATTCATATCCTTTTAAAACCTTGAGAATAAAGATGAAAAAATAGGCAAAGTATCAAAAGAGAAACAGTTTTTTTTTCCTCCAGAGACTTAACAGAAATTGAACACAAAGTATACTGTTTTTTTTTATTTAACATGAAATAATTGGGTACAACTACCTAGAGATTTAAGACAACCATTCTTTTATTCTGAAAGAACAGCTATAGAAAATATATCACAAAGCTAAAAAAAAATGGTAAATTATAAAAGTTCACTGTTTTTCAATTAAAGAAGCTCCTGTATACTTACCTTTAGAATACAGCATTGGAATCATTTGCTATTCCACTGGAATACTAAACTGAATAATTTAGACTTTTACATGTTTTGTATAGTCTACTATAAAGTTACAGAATGAATTTCAAAACACCTATCTTCAAGACAAAATGTTAAATTCAAATAACGCTCTTAAAAACTAACACAAAATCAATTCTATAGGAAATCAACATAATATATTTAATTATATACATTAGAGTCTTTATATTCTCTTTTGCATTCTAAATTCAATTTGATGACTTTTGAAATAATCAAATATTGTCATATAATAGGTCCATTAAGCTATTCATTAAGTGAACATTACTGCCAAGAGTGATGATAGAAATATCCTCTTAGATATTCCCAGCCACAATTTGCAATAAATGTATTACTGGCAAGAGGCAGGATTACAAAAATAGTGTAGATACCTTAATGCCAGAAACCAACCTAGTGGCAGGTTTATTCACTACAACAGCTTAATAGAGTAGGTGCTAAACAGATATTTGATGGCTGGAAAACTCATACACAAAACCTAATTGTTCCTCCTCACACCTTGCTTTGGAGAATAAGAAAAGTGTTTTTATTACGCTAGTTTGAAAGGTGAATGTTCTGAATCATTGAAAACATCAAGTAAAAAAGTTCATGTTAATACTTGGCACTCCATTCCATGTCTTAACAAATGTTATCACATGAAATACTATTATTCACTAAAAAGAGTTGTTAATTTACAAGACAAAGTAGCACATCAGTTAATATAGTTGGACATGCAGCAAAATATAACCTATTTTAAGGTTATAATCTAGATAGTGCACAGTGGTTCACACCAATAACTCCAAGTGAGGCCAACATGGGAGGATCACTTGAGCCCAGGAGGTTGAGACTAGTCTGTACAATATAGTAAGAGCCCACCTGTCTCTACAAAAAACTTTTTTTAATTAGCTGAGTATGATAGCATACACCTATAGTCCAAGCCACTTGGGGGGCAGAGGCAGGAGGATCATTTGAGCCCAGGAGGTTAAGGCTGCAATGGACCTTGATTACGTCACCACACTCCAGCCTAGATGATAGGGCAAGACCATGTCTCAGAGGGGAAAAAAAAAAAAAGTTACACATCTAAAGGATGGAAGAGAGACTATTTATCTTTGCAAAAACCTAGTTCCCCATCCCTGATTTAGGTAACTATTTCCCCTGTTTTTTAATTTATTTTTAAAACTATTTGACTATAGATTATACCATATTATTTTAACAGAAATTCATTTTTATTTAAATCCACTTAATAAAATAATACATATATGATTAACACATTTTAATCATTAAAAGATTTCAAAAAGTATAATTCAAAGATCCTCTCAACTATAATTTTATGCCCACTCCCCAGAGAGGTAAGTACTGTAAACTGTTTCACATACCTTTCCATCAACTTTTTATGTGTAGCTCACTTTTTCAGAAGTAAATCTGTATATACTTTTAAGTCACTACTTTTGTTCACAAGATAATTTAGTCTTATTATGTCTCTTAAAACCGATCTCCTAAGTATGGAAATGAAAGGCATTACCAGCCACCAACAAAACACACTTAAGTACATATACCAGTGACACCATAAAGCAACCACACAAACAATTCTGCATAATAACCAGCTAACAACATGATGACAGGATCAAATCTGCAGATATAAATACTAACCTTGAATGTAACCAGGCTAAATGATGCAATTAAAAGGTACACAGTGGCAAGTTGGATAAAGAAGCAAGACCCTGATAATATGCTATACATAATATGCTATACACAAGAGACCCATCTCACATGTAATGACACACCTAGGCTCAAAGTAACGGATGGAGAAAAATCAAGCAAATGGAAAACATCAAAATGCAGGGGTTGCTATTCTAATTTTATACAAAACAAACTTTAAACTAACATATAACAAAAAAGACAGAAGATTACATAATGGTAAAGGGTTCAATTCAACAAGAAGAACTAAGCATCAGATATATCCTCAACACGGTATCTGATATATCTGATACTAGTATATCTGATACTGTGTTGAGGATATATACACAGATAGATAGATATAGATATATTTCCAAATTAACACAACCAGAAATTATAAAAAGGATATTACAACTGACTCCACAGAATTTTTTTTTAAATAAAATCCTTAGAGACTACTATGGACACCACTATACACACAAGCTAGAAAACCTAGAAGATATGGATAAATCCTGAAAACATACAACCTTCCAAGATGAAACCAGGAAGAAATTGAATCCCTGAAGAGATCAGTAATGAGTTCTAAAACTGAATCAGTACTACAAAGCTTACCAACAAGAAAAATCAAGAACCAGACAGATTCACAGCTGAATTCCACCAGATGTACAAAAAAGAGCTGGTACCATTTCTAATGAAACTATTCGAAAAGATTGAGGAGGAGGGATTCCTCGTTACTCATTCTATGAGGCCATTTTCATCATGAAAACAAAAGCTGGCAGAGACATACAAAAAAACAAAACTTCAGGCCAATATCTTTGATAAAGATAGATACAAAAATCCTCAACAGAATACAGCAAACCAAATCCAGCAGCACATCAAAAAGCTAATCTTCCACAACCAAGTAGGTTTTATTCCTGGGATGCAAAGTTGGTTTAACAGATGTAAATCAATAAATGTAATTCATCACATAAACAGAACTAAAAATGAAAACCACATGATTATTTCAATAGATGCAGAAAAGGCTTTTGATAAAATTCAATATCTTTTCATGTTAAAAATCCCTCAATAAACTAGTCATTGAAAGAACATACTTCAAAATAATAAAAGCCATCTATGACAAATCCTCAGCTAACATCATACTGAATGGGTAAAAGCTAGAAGCATTCCCCTTGAATAACAGAACAAGACAAGAATGCCCTCTCTCAACACTCCCATTCAACATAGTAATGGAAGTCCTGGCCAGAGCAATCAGACAAGAGAAATAAATAAAAGGCATCCCAATAGGAAGAAAGCAAGTCAAACTATCCCTGTTTGCAGATGATGTAATTCTATACCTAGAAAACCCCATAGTCTCTGTCCAAAAGCTCCTTGATCTAATAAATAACTTCAGCAAAGTTTCAGGATACAAAATCAATGTACAAAAATCAGCAGCATTCCTAAATGCCAACAACATGCAATCTGACAGCCAAAGCAAGAATGCAATCCCATCTACAATAGCCACAAAGAGGATAAAATACCTAGGAATATAGCTAATCAGGGAGATGAGGGATCTCTACAATGAGAATTACAAAACACAACTTAAAGAAATTATAGATAGCACAAACAAATGGAAAATATCCATGCTCATCAACAGGAAGAATCAATATTGTTAAAATGGCCATATTACCCAAAGCAATTTGCGATTCAATGTTATTCCTACCAAACTACCAATGACATTCTTCACAAAATTAGGAAAAACTATATTAAAATTCGTATGGATCCAAAAAAGAGCCCAAACAGCCAATGAAATCCTAAGCAAAAAGAACAAAGCTGGAGGCATCACATTACCCAATTTCAAGCTATACTATAGGGCTACAATAACCAAAACAGCATGGTGCTGTTGTTGAAGCAAGAAGCTTCTGCATAGAAAAAGAAACTATCAACAGAGTAACAAACAACCTATAGAATGAGGGAAAATATTTGCATACTATGCACCCAACGATGGTCAAATATCCAAACTCTATAAGCAACCTAAACAAATCAGTAAGCAAAAAACAAATAGCCTCATTTAAAAAGTAGACAAAGAGTGAGAACAAACACCTTTCAAAAGAAGGCATACACCCAGTCAACAAGCATGTGAAAAAAATGCTCAACAACACTAATCAGAGAAATGCAAATAAAAACAACAATGAAATACTATCTCACACCAATCAGAAAGGCTATTCTTAAAAAAATCAAAAAATAACTGATGCTGGCAAGGTTATGAAGAAAAGAGAATGCTTATACACTGCTGTTGGGAATGTAAATTAGTTCAGTCATTGTGGAAAGCAGTTGGGCAATTTCTCAAAGAACTCAAAGCAGAATTACTATTTGACTAGAAATCCCATTATTGGATATATACCCAAAGGAATATAAATTGTTCAACATAAAGATACATGCATATGTATTTTCATCATAGCACTTTTCACAATAGCAAAGACATGGAAACAACCTAAATGCCCATCAACAGTATAATGGATAAAAAAAATGTGGTACATATATACCAGGGAATACTATGCAGCCATCAAAAGACTGAGATCATGTCCTTTGCAGCAACATGGATGAAGGTAGAGGCTATTATCATAAGCAAACTAGCACAGGAACAGAAAATCAAATAGCACATGTTCTCGTTTATAAATGGGAGCTAAATGTTGAGAACCCAAAGACAAACAGAGGCGAACAACAGATACAGCACCTACTTGAGAATGCTGGGTGGGAGGAGCATGAGGACCAAAAAACTACCTATTGGGTACTATGCTTGTTACCTGGGTGATGAAATAATCTGTATGCCAAACTCCTATGACACATTATTTGCCTATATAACAACCCTGCACATGTACCCCTAAACCTAAAAGCTAAAAAATAAAAATAAAAAATTTTTAAAAGAGAAAGCAAGAACAACAAAAAATATATTTCTCATTTTAAAATAAAATATGTGCAGTATACTCTACTATTTGTATGAACCATGGTGACAGACATTTGGATTGTATCCTGTTTGGTTTTTTGTTGTTATTATATATTTCTATAGTGTTGTGCTCATTTTTCTTTTTTTTTTTTTTTTTTTGAGACGGAGTCTCGCTCTGTCGCCCAGGCTGGAGTGCAGTGGCGGGATCTCGGCTCACTGCAAGCTCCGCCTCCCGGGTTCACGCCATTCTCCTGCCTCAGCCTCCCAAGTAGCTGGGACTACAGGCGCCCGCCACTATGCCCGGCTAATTCATTTTTCTTAATATATGAGTTCTTTACTAGAAAGAAAATTAGTCCTTTCTCATATGCTTTTCCAATTACTTTTTGCCAGATTATCATTCATGTTTTGACTTTTTCTTATCTTTCTATTTAATTTATTTATTTTTAACTTTTATCATAGTTTTGGGGGTACATGTGAAGGTTTGTTACACAGATAAACACATGTTGTGGGGGTTTGTTGTACATATTATTTTGTCACCCAGATATTAAGCCCAGTACCCAATAGTTATCTTTTCTGCTCTTCTCCCTCCTTCCACCCTTCCCACTCAAGTAGACCCCACTGTCTGTTTTTTCCATCTTTGTGTTCATAAGTTCTTATCATTTGGCTCTCACTTATAAGTGAGAACATGCAGTATTTGGCTTTCTGTTCCTGCATTAGTTTGCTGACGATAATAGCCTCCAGCTCTATCTGAGCGTTCTTTTTTTATGGCCGCATAGTATTCCATGGTGTATACATACCACATTTTCTTTATCCAATCTGTCATTGATGGGCATTTAGGTTGATTCCATGTTTTTCCTACTGTGAACAGTGCTGCAGTAAACATTCACGTGCATGTTTCTTTGTGGTAGAATGATTTATATTCCTCTGCATACATATCCAGAAATAGGATTGCTGGGTCAAATGGCATTCTACTTTTAGCTCTTTGAGGAATCGTCATAGTGCTTTCCACAAGGGTTGAACTAAATTAGCAGTATAGCCATTTTAATGTGGTACATATATACCCAGGGAATAATACTATGCAGCCATCAAAAGAATGAGATCATGTCCTTTGCAGCAACCTGGATGAAGGTAGAGGCTATTATCATAAGCAAACTAGCACAGGAACAGAAAACCAAATAGGAATGCTAGTGATTTTTGTGCATTCATTTTGTATCCTGCAATTTTGATGAAGTTGTTTATCAGCTGGAGAAGCTTTTGCACTGAGACCGTGGGATTTTCTAGATATAAAATCATGTCATCTGTAGAGATAGTTTTACTTTCTCTCTTCTTATTTGGATGCCCTTTATTTCTTTCTCTTGCCTGATTGCTCTGGCTAGGACTTCCAATACTATGTTGAATAGAACTGGTGAGAGAGGACATCCTTGTTTTTGCCGATTTTCAAAGGGAATGCTTCCAGCTTTTGCCCATTCAGTATAATGTTGGCTGTGGGTTTGTCATTGATAGTGCTTATTATGTTGAGGTATGTTCCTTCAGTACCTAGTTTATGGATAGTTTTTAACATGAAGGGGTATTGAATTTTACTGAAAACCTTTTTTGTGTCTATAGAGATAATCATGTGGTTTTTGTCTTTGTTTCTGTTTATGTGCTCATTTATTCATTCGCATATGTTGAACCAAACTTGCATCCCAGGAATGAAGTCTACTTGATTATGCTGGATTAGTTTTTTGATGTTCTGCTGGATTCAGTTTGCAAGGATTTTGCTGAGGATTTTTTCATTGATGTTCATCAAGGATATTGGCCTGATGTTTTTTTGTTAGGTCTCTGCCAGGTTTTGGTATAAGATGATGCTGGCATCATAGAATGAGTTAGGGAGGAGTCCCTCCTCCTCAATTTCTTGGAATAGTTTCTGTAGGAATGGTACCAGTTGTTCTTTGTACATCCTGTAGAATTCATCAGGTCCCAGGGTTTTTTGTTTTTGTGGTTTTTTTTTTTTTTTTTTTGGTTGGTAGGCCATTTATTACTGATTTGATTTTGAAACTCATTATTGGGTTGTGTGGGGAATCAATTTCTTCCTGGCTCAGCCTTGGGAGGGTGTATCTGTCCGGAAACTTATTCAACTCTTCTAGGTTTTCTAGTTTATGTGCATACATCATTGAGGCAGAAAATTAACAAAGATATTCAAGACCTAAACTCAACATTGGACCAAATGGATCTGATAGACTGTTATAGAACTCTCCAACAAAAAGCAACAGACTATACAGTCTTGTCATTGCCACTTGGCATATACTCTAAAATCAGTGACATAATTGGACATAAAACTATCTTCAACAAAGGTAAAATAACCAAAATTATACCAACACACTCTCAGACCACAGCACAATAAAAATACAAGTCAAGACTATAAAAATCACTCAAAACCATGCAATTACATGGATATTAAACAACATGCTCCTGAATGACTTTTGGGTAAATAATGAAATTAAGGCAGAAATCAGTAAGTTCTTTGAAAATAATGAGAACAAGAATGTAACATAGCCAAATTTCTGGGACACAGTTAAGGCAATGTTAAGAGGGAAATTCATAGCACTAAAAGCCCACATCAAAAAGTTTGAAAGATCTCAAATTAACAATCCAACTTCACAAATGAAGGAATTAGAGAGGCAAGAACAAATCAACCCCAAAGCTAGAAGAAGACAAGAAATGACAAAAATCAGAGCTAAACTGAAGGAAATCAAGACACACAAAAAAAAATTCAAAAGATCAACAAATCCAGGAGTTGGTTTTTGGAAAAAGTAATAAAACAGATAGGCCACTAGCTAGTTTAATAAAGAAGAAAAGAGAGAAGAGCCACATAAACACAATTGGAAATTAGAAAACGAATGTTCTCCTGTCCCCACAGCAATAAAAACAACCATCAGAAACTACTAGGAACACCTCTACACACACAAACTTGACTTTTATTTTTTGCCTTGACTGAAAGATTTTTTTATGCCCTTAGATTTATCAGTCTATCTTCACAACTTTTAAACTTTGTGGCATGTTCTGGAGTCCTTTTCTAAATCATATCCTGATGTTTTACTCAACTGCTTTTCTGATTTCACTTTATTTTTTATGTTCCAATGTTTGAGCCATCTGAAATTTAGATTAATTGTTTAGGGTAAGAAGTGAGAGATATCAGTTTATTTTTCTAAATATCAAGCCAACTTATTGAACATCATTTATTAAATAATCCATTTCCTTCCCCATTTACTTGAGTTCTACCATTATCTATATATTAAAATCTTCATACATTTTGACTTTCATTTCCATAATAAAATGCTCTTCAGTCTATTCTTGAATAAATAACAAGCTCTTTCAAGTTCTCCAGGTTTATTAACATACCTGGCAAGGCTTGTTTCCCCTCATTGTTCTTATTAACAATCTTTCATTTTAATCTTACCTATTTATCTTTTTCCAACAAAATGTACTATCTTTTTGCAAATTTTCTCAAAAGCAATCTTGCTGGTATTTTGAAGGGAATAGATTAAATATATATATTTGAGAAAAATATACATTTTATAGCATAGATTCTTTTTATCCAAAGTATGTCTTTCTTTTTAATACTTCCTTATTGTCCTTAGAAAATAATTTTCTTTCACATAAGTTCCACACATTGATCATTAATTATATTCCCAGGTATTATAAATATTCTATCCCATTGCTTTTCTAAATTGGTGGTTTTGGCATGTAGAAAACTTTTTGGTTATTCGTTTTTCACCTTTATTTTACTAAATTATACTAGATTTTAGTTGATTACTTTAGGTTTACATTGCAATCATTTGCAAAAAAAAAAAAGGCACATACTTTCTAACATTTATAAGTCTATTTACATTATTTGTCTAGTTGTACTGGCTGTGCTTCCAGGAAAATAATAAATGATATAAAGATATAAAAGGGCATCTATATATTTCTTTTTTGTATTATCTCCCATCTTATCAGGAGATAACAGGAATGTCTTAGTGATTCATTATTAAGATTTATGCTTTCTTTTTAATTAACACATATATTTATTTCATTCTACAGAAGTTTCTATATTTGTAAGGGTGTTTTTCAGTTTAACATTTAAGAAGAAATACTGTTTTCTACTCTCTTAATATGGTGAATTATAATAACAGTTTTCCAAATACTGAAACATCTTTCATGCAGGGCTGTTTGCCAATAATGTGTTCTGTACTTTGCCTTCATGAGTTGTTAAAGTGGTTTGTAGTCAGTTTTTTTTTTCTATCATTCCTATCAGATTTTGGTATCACTTTAAAACTTCCTCTTTTGTATAATAGTAATCATTTAACAGAATTACATTTATTTCTTTCTAAACTGTTTGAAAGACTTCATCTGTAAAATCTTCTGAGTACATTGTTTGTGAGAAGTAACTTAAATTCTTTTCTCAAATTTCTCCTTAGGTTTTTGTACAATTTAGGCTTTCTAAATCTTTTCTAGTAAAGTCTAGTTATTTATAAATCTTTTTATTAACAAAACATTTATTTCATCTAGGATTTCAAATAGATTTAGAGAGAATATTATAAAATATTCATGAATAACTAAGTTGATATCCTTTCCACTTGGGGTTGTTTGGTTATTTCCTCACTTTCATTTCTAATTTTGTATATGTTACCAATTGTGTTTTGCTAAATAAACTTTATGTAGGTTCCCAGTTGTGTTATGTATAAATTTATGCTTTCATTTTATCAATAATTTCCTCTATTTTCCTTAGCTCCTATTTGTTAATCTTTATAAAACACTTGATTTGAATAATTAATTCATTTACTATTAATCTTTATTTTGTAAGTTTAAAACTATGAGAATTATACTGTGTGAACTGTGGATATAGCTCATAGATTCTATAGCTTACTGTTTTCATTTTCATTATTGTATGAACATCACACAAGCAAAGTTTTATTTTATTTTTGAACTATGGGTTGTTTAACATAAAGGTGTAATGAATTGTTAACAAAGATATTTGTTACATTTTGTTGCTTTGATTTTATATTTCAAGACGGCTCTACTGGGGTTTTAATTTAAAGATCTCAAATACACAAACCAAACTCTGTTTGCACCATCAGTGAATTTTAGATAGCTACTCACATATCTTGAAAATGTAAAATTTCTCTTCTATAAAATAAAAGTAATACCTCATTGGTATTCCCTGTGGACCTTCTTTAAAACTAATTGTCCATAGATAGCCCTCCCTATCTCCCGATCTACCGCCTGTGCTTAATTTTCTCCACAGCACTTTTCACTGTTGAAAAAGATGATATATATATATATAACTTAAATTTTGTCAGATGCCTCAAAATGTTGGTATTTTATGAGGATTGCATTAATTATATAGATAAAATTTTAAAGATTTAGAATCTTTGAAACCTGAATTATACACAGTAGAAACTCAATATGTTTGTGTGTATATACATACAAATGTATGTGTTCATATAATGAGTAAACTGAGATTATATGAGAAACAGACAGAAACCTTTTGTGAAAGAATAACATGCTGCTCAGATATGAAAAAGTCTATTGGTAGACAACCTGGTCTTTATTTGCTCATCTTACATAGCATTTCGTAAAGAAATATTGCTCGATATATGTTGGATTCCTTCCTACCAAAGTGATAGAGTTGTCCTCCAGTGACTCCCATTTCTTAAACAGAGAGGTTTAAGTCCATGTTCTCCTTATAGGGGACTCAAAAAGAGATAAACAGAATTTTTTTAAAGGGGCAGTTCACCTGACTAGTCAAGTTTTATTTTGACTTTAAGAGAGAGTCTTGGCCAGGCGCGGTGGCTCACGCCTGTAATCCCAGCACTTTGGGAGGCCGAGGCGGGGGGATCACGAGGTCAGGAGATAGAGACCATTCTGGCTAACACGGTGAAACCCCATCTCTACTAAACAAAATACAAAAAATTATCTGGGCATGGTGGCGGGCGCCTGTAGTCCCAGCTACTCGGGAGGCTGAGGCAGGAGAATGGCGTGAACCCGGGAGGCGGAGCGTGCAGTGAGGCGAGATCGCGCCACTGCACAACAGAGACTTAAAAAAAAAAAGAGTCTTACAGAGTCTGATAAATATGAGCATAAGTTAATCACTGAACCAATCAAATCAATCAGATCAAGTTCCATTACCTGGTCATTTCACTTAAGAGATTAGATAGTTAATGAGATGATTAAATTTTATAGTGAGTGAAATAAGAATATCTAGATATATTTAATGGGAGTTTGCTTTCAATTATTATTAATGTCATTGTTTATGTGAACTCAAGCTAAAATTCTGTTAAAGAGAAATTCACTCGATTTGATTTTAAATAATGAAAACAAGGCATTTATGTGTTTGTAAATACTCTGAATTGAAATAAATAGAGCTATGAATAATTTTGAAAAGCTACTCAGAAAGGTCTTCAAAGAAAGGTTTCTTAATCCAGGCCCTCAAGTTTTGTCAGCTCCTCAAAAGGTGGTCAGATTTTGTGGTGTTGATTCATACCAGCCAAACTCAGAAACCAGCTTTGATAACAGAAAGAACTATGTTCATGTTGGTTTGGAATTAACCATCTCAAAAACACAATGGGTGCATGTAAGACATTCACGACCATGACGTTCAGTAACATCATGTTTCTTCTGGGGTTAAGACAAAGCAGGTAAGCAAGTACTAGAATAAGGACATCAAAGGCAAGGCAAAATGTGGGAATACATCTAGGCTGAAAACTAAATGTGTGCATACCTTTGTGACCTAGATAAAAATAGACAAGTTCATTTAAAAAGATATTGTCCCACCAAGATGCTTACCAGGGTCAGCATTATGAAATTACTCTCCAAACAGAACAAGAGTGAAATATCACAGTACACAAACATGTTAATATTTTTACTTTTAAGAAAAAAGAACTTATTTTTCATCTGAAGTGTAGCTGAAAATTATGCATCATTATTGTTCAATAACTACTAAAAGAACAGAGCAGCAATAATTCTTTTGAATTTCAAAGCTTCAAAGTAACATATCTTCCTAACATCAACAGAGATACTTACTTACTCATCACCAGACTGTGTCCTCATTCTAAAATATTGCCTTTGTAAGCCCAAGAGGTCCCCAAGGAGAGTATCAATTGTTATTGACTTCAAACCACTGACACAACAAATGTCATTCATCTGTTAAGAAGGACAGGTTGAGAGACTGGCACAAGGTCAGTTTATCTTCAAAACTTACATATGTACCTTTTGCTGTCAATTCACTTCCTTTTACCCCAAGATACTGATGATTAGCAGCCTTGCTCATAAATTCTCAATAATAATTGGGAAGCTAAATTATTTTCCAATTTGTGTCATTTTAAGAAGTCTTGTTGATGATGCTGACTTTTCAGAAAATAATATGTATTTTCTGCCAAAAATAGAAAAGTACTGTTCCTAGATATTTAAACTTAGCTGTATTATTCAAGTTTAAATAACCCTTATCATTCTTTGAAGGACAGAAATGGCTAATAAATAGGGATATGCTAATCACACAATGTTGCATTAAAATGGAAATTATTTTAGTTTATCTTCACAAGACTAATTTTAAAATTATTTTAATGAATTCCAGGAGGATAAAAGAATAGAGTCTCTCTGCAGTCTATATTAACTCTTCCTAGTAACTTGGATTTGTTTAAAGCTATTCTTCTACATAGCAACAGTTGCCTGAAATCTAGGTGTTTTGGACAAAAAAAAAAAAAAAGATTACTGAATATAGTTTGTTGAATTCATCATTAAATTCAAGATCTATCTTTCTTTTTTTAAGAATAAACATCTCTTTGACATGTTATGTCATGAATCCATGTTCCCTAAAGTGAAATGTTTGATTGAAGAAATCATCTGAAAATTTTAGGATACAAGACTACTAGCTCCTTGAGGGCAGTAATTTTGTCTTAATTGCCTTTTAGTTCAGAGTCTAGCATAGTTCCTGGCGTACACCCAATAAATACTTGTAGAGTGAATGAATCAAAATAATGTTCTTTTTGTCGAATATTTTTGATGTAGTTAATAATATTAGCCAACAGTTATTATTTCTTACATGCCAAGCACTGTGACCACATAACATACTAACTATTTCAATCCTAATAACATATCCCATTACATCTAGGCTATTATTATCCTCAGATGAGGATGTTTACAGATGAGGAATCTGAAACACAGAGGAGTTAAGTAACTTACCCAAGACACACAACTACCACAGAGTAGGGACACAATTCAAACTTGACAAACTAGCTCCAGCCCTCCCACCTAATCATGACACTCTCCTACCTCTCTGAATTGACAAGGTATCAAAATTGAGACAAATTCCAAGTATAAGCATACCACAAAGATATTACAGGTTTAGTTTCAGACCACAGCAATAAAACAAATATCACAATAAAAGTGAGTCACACAAATTTTTGGTTTCCCAGTGCGTAAAAAAGTTATGTTTAAACTACTATGTAGTAGTTTATTAAGTGTGCAATAGCATTGTGCATAAAAAAAGGACATAACTTAATTTAAAATACTGTATTGCTAAAAAATACTAACAGTCATCTGAGCCTTCAGTGAATTATTTTGCTGATAGAGGGTCTTGACTCTTCCTTTCATGAAAGATATCTTTGTAGCATGTGATGCTGTTTGATAGCATTTTACCCATAGAACTTCTTTCAAAATTTGAGTCAATTCTCCCAAACCCTGCTGCTGATTTATCAATTACATTTATGTACTATTCTGAATCATGTGTTGTCATTTTAACAATGTTCACAACGTATTCACCAGTAGATTCCATCTCAAGAAATCACTTTCTTTGCTCATCCATGAGGAGCAACTGCTCATTGATTAAAGTTCAATCATAAGTTTGCAAAACTTCAGTCACATCTACAGGCTCCACTTCTAATTCTAGTTATCTTACTATTTCCACCACATCTTCAGTTACTTCCTCCACTGAAATTTTGAAACCCTCAAAGTCATCCATGAGTGTTGGAATCAATTTCTTCCAACCTACTGTTAATGTTGATATTTTGATCTCCTCCCATGATTCACAAATGTTCTTCATGGCATATAGAATGGTGAATACTTTTTAGAATGTTTTCAATTTACCTTGCTAAGATTCATCAGATGAATCACTATATAAAGCAGCTACAGCCTTTCAAAATGTATTTCTTAAATAATAAGACTCAAAAGTCAAAATGACTCCTTGATCCATGGGCTACAAAATGCGTGGTGTTTAGCAGACATGAAAACACTGTTATTCTCCTTGTACATCTCTATCAGAGCTCTTGAGTGACTTGGTGCATTGCCAATGATCAATAATACTTTGAAAGGAATCCTTTTTTTCTGAGCAGATCTCAACAGTGGCTGTAAAATATTCAGTAAGCCATGCTGTAAACCTATGTGCTGTCATCTAGGGGTTTTTGTTCCACTTACAGAGCACAGGCAGAGTAGATGTAGCAAAATTCTTAAGGACTCTAGAATTTTTTAAATGGTAAATGAGCACAGGCTTCAACTTAACGTCACCAGCTGCATTATCCCCTAACAAGAGAGTTGGCCTATCCTCTGAAACTTTAAAGCAAGATATTGATTTCTCCTCTCTAAATAGGAAAGTTATAGATGGCATCTTCTTCCAATAGAAAGCTGTTTTATCTACATGGAAAATCTGTTGTTTAGATTTTACACTGATGAAGCTACACAGCTAGCTTCATAATGATCTTAGCTAGATCCTCTGGATAACTTGTTGCAGCTTCTACATTAGTAGTTGCTACCTCACTTGGCACTTTTATGTTATGGAGATGGCTTATTTCTTTAAACCTCATGAACCAACCTCTACTAGCATCAAACTTTTCTTCTGTAGATTCCTCACCTTTCTCAGCCTTCATAGAATTAAAGAGAGTTAGGACCTTGCTCTGGATTAGACTTCAGCTTAAAGAAATATGGGTGACTTGATCTTCTATCCAGACCACCAAAACTCTCCATTCAATCAAAAATAGTTACTCTGAAATTAAAATTTTAATATTGTTAAAAATGTATTTACTAAGTTAATTGTCACTTTTGCTATAAAAATAATTTAATTATTTTGCATAGCATAATTGTTTATAAATACCACTTTTTCAAGGCCAAAAAAAGCAGAATAAATTGTAGGATTGAGGGGTTAAAATACACTGAAATATCTACATGTAAAAAGGAAAATAAGAGGTTTTGACTTTAAATACCTGAATTCAGTCTATTAATTCACTTAATATACAGACAACTAAAATTAAGATACATTAAGGTAGTAAGTGCAATGGAGAAAATGGTTCCTTCTGCTTGCAGAGATCATGGTTGACAGTAAAGGGAAGTCACTGAGGTGGGGTTAAGTGGCTGGACTACATTCCTACTCTCATCCCTGTCCAGGCTTCTGGTCATACTGACTGATTTACATGAGGTGAAGGGTACCTGCACAAAGGTAGCTTTTAATGTACTAGAGCCTGAAAAAGAGATGGAAAATGCAAGGGATCTTAGCCACCTTAACCTCAACCAGCTCTAAGGAAAGCACTTGAGCCAAATGTAAGCAGGGACCCTCTTCCCACTTCTGTGATGAATACACAATGATCTGGAGCATTGAGGACCCTATGGATACCTGCTGGATTGGCAGATTTTTAAAACCGTGTGCTAGCATTCAAGTCGGGGGGTGGGGCTTAAAAAAAGAGAAGCAGCAACAGAAGACGTGGTGGATAATAACAGTGAGTAATCTTTATGGGGCTCTTAATATAGGTCAGATACTTTCCAAGTACTCCAAATGCATTAACTCACTTAACCCTAAAACAATCACCACTTTCCAGTTAACAAGCTGAAGTTTAGAGAAGTTAAGCAAATAGTCCAAGGTCATGTACCTAAATGGTGGCACCAGGATTCAATCACAGGTAGATTAAGTCCAGGGCTTATGCTCTCAAAAACAGAGCTAATTCTCTCTCTCATGGGAGAATGGAATCCCCTGGGGGGTATGGGCTTTTTGAACCCACATAAAAATACTCTGTAGGAATTCCCAAGTATACTTTCAGAGGTAGAGGAATGGCAGAGATAGGGAGATTTTCTGGGAAGCTGGTTTCCTGCTTGAGCAGATGGGACAATGTGTCAGCCTGATTTAAGTATAATTAGTAATGAGAACTCATTTTTTCCACAGGTTGATAAGGCCTGGGGATACTGAAGCATACGTATTTTATATCTGGGGAGAAGGGCATATAGACATTAGCTAGGATTAGTCAATGCTGTTATACATGCACAAGATTTCAGTAGTGAAGTAGCAAGATAGCTAGAAAACTGTACAATATGATTCACTTAGACTAAGGATCTGGCTCAAAATACAAGAGATAAAGTGCTTATTAAGTAAAGCATTTGTACAAACATAATGAGAAAATCTAATGTAGAATGCACAGTGAAATTCAGTTAGCTACAGACATGAAAGGAAATAAAGATAGTTCTCTGTAAGTCTGACCAGACTGTGCTAAAAAAAATTTCATCTGTAAATAATTTTTCACTTGGTATCCACATCCCTTAGATAAAATGTTAAAAATGGCGATTGGATGTTGGGTCAGTCTCAGCCCATCTACATAAATCTATAAAGTACCTTACATACAATTTCAGGAGTACTTTGAAGCTCTCTGCCATGTACAACAATCCTTTTCCATCTTAAATCATTTTTTTTTGAAGCAAGGCAGAACTTAAGTGTAAATAAGTAAAATACCTCTGTGAGAAAATGCAATTGATAGTCCAACTCAGTAGTGCCAAGAACACATTCTTATTCCCATCATTCAAGCAGTAAATATGAAGATTCTCATGCTCAGAGCTGAGGGTAGATAAACTGGTTGGGCAATGACTAAAGAAAAAGTGAGTTATTTTGTGTTAAAGAGAAGAAAACAGCCTGCTTAGCCAAGTTCCACAGTCAAAATTCTAGATTACTGTAATCAGAATATAGAGTTGTAGAGAGGCAGATTTTAAATGGCAGAGCATGAGCACCTGGATCAAACTGGCCTGAAGCCTTTCTATTCTGTAACAGTAAATTAAATATCCAATTTTGTTTATCACTTTTTCAGAGTCATTTCGTTTGCAGTTGAAAAACTCCCAACTACTACAATAGGCTCTCTCAGAATGTTAAGAAACTGGGTAGGAACTTGGATGATAGAATGAAGAACAGGGGCAGTGTTTGGGAGACAGGGCAGTATAAAGAGTGACCAGCTTCCACATGGCACTTGGAGACTGGTAAGAGGAACAACAGATGCTAGGAACAGCCACACTCAGTGGCACAAGAATCTCCTTGTCATACAAACCTCACTTTTCCCTTTTCTTTTAACCATTGGGGTCCCCCGGGAAAAACTGGCCTTGGAAGAAGAAGGAAGTGACAATGAGACAAGTTCAAGAATCGTTATGCTATAGGGAGGAATAATGGAGTTTCTCCAAACAGTGGGACAAGGTTTTGTGGAAGGTTGTGGCAGCCTTTGTGCAGCACAACAAGAAGAAAGTGAATGAAGGGTGGTAAGAAAAGATCACCTTGCAGTTACATTCTTCGCAGATGTTTTATTAAAGGGATGTATGGAAATCGATTGTTTGTAATTCAGACACTAAAGGGAAAATGTACCTATGTAAAATACTATTAGATGGCCATGTTACAAAAAAGATGAAAGTGAAGCTTTTCACTCAAGATGACTTACATTTCTAGAAAAGATAAAAAGATCTCCAGATCTGATTTTCAGAGACTTTAATTTGGTAATCATGTTTTGTGTCACTGGCACAGCCCAACAGTCCTCAGAAAGCATTTGAGCTTCATAGAGGAGAGTCCTTAGTTTCCAAAACTCAAGAAAGCAAATAGAGACTTAGTCATGGGTTTATTACAATCCAACAGTAAGTCATTAACTACAAGCCTGGAAGAGTGGATGCTGGCAACAAAATTAATTAAATTTGTAGCACTAAGAACAGTCCTATAACAATTATTTGGGAAGCATATTTCAACTGCAACAAAGCATCCTAGGAATCGGTAGGGCAGTTGCTCTATAATGTAGTCTTTAGGAATATCCAGCAAAGACCAGAAGTTTAAGGAAAGATGGAAAATTCTCAAGGAATTCTAATAATGCACCAAGATAAAATTATTACTTAGAGAAAAATGAGAAAGGAGTAATCTGAACAATCAGATGAGGCTTCATGTTAAAACAACCCATGAAGGAATTTCCCAAATCCAAAGAAAGAGTGAAATACCAAGAGAAGAACCTATAAACATTTTTTAAATGCATAAAGAGGAATAGGGAAGAAAACAATAAAAACACTAATTGCCAGAATTAAATTTACCAAATTTTCCAAGTTTACTGCATTTACTCATAGGGCTTATCAATTTAAATAACAAACAGAGAGGTGAACTCTCTAAAAGAAAATGATGTTTATTTGGGAATGGGCTTTGCACTGGGAAAATATGTGTCATATATAATAAATTATGTGCCTATTTTGGAAAGACAAAGTTTTTAAAAAAAATTGAGAGGGATTACATAATTGTTTTAAGATTAATCATCCTTGGCTGCCAGGATCAGTAACAAGGGTGGCATCAGTCTGAGGTTGGACAGGCAGTTACTGGGCAGTTGTCCTCAAAGAAGTGTATTTTTGTTTAAGGTTGTGGTAGCCTTTGTGCAAGGCTGTGGTTTTGCAGTCTTTGGTGAGAGTTTCTTGATTAGGCATTCATGCATGAGAACCATTTCTTCAAGGCCTTTCCCAGCTCTCTTTGTCCGAGTTTTTAACCCAAGTGACTCCATTTTGATTCTGACAACTTACAATTTTTACAGATTTTACGTTTCTAGTAAGAATGGGACCCTTCTGCAATTACAAATTAAATCTCATCACTATGGAAATGTTGCAGCATTTTTACAACAGAACATGAGATATGCCTAAAGAAGAAAAGCCCATGTGCCTCTGTGTTTTCAAGTGCTAATTTGATTTGGGAAACTTTTACGTACTTAATAATTACCCCTCTCTCCTTGTTAATTTGTTCCCTACCCCACCAGCACCTCCCAACAGAGGAGTAAAATGAATTTCCTTAGCACTATGTTTAGCATTGTTAACACCTCCTATCAAGTCTACTGTCCTTCATAACGAGAAAAGCTAGAGGAAGGCATAACTTTAGTACTTTTGAGGTGATAGGGAAGATTCCCTGGCTTAAAAAGTAAATAATATTTTATTAAATTTCAGGTATAGTTTTGAATTAAATCAAACCCAATTGCTAAGCTTATTATACAGACAACTAAAATATCAGGAAGAGGGCAAAAATACTTATTAATTAATTATCTGGAAAGAAATAAGAAAAATGAGCTCAGGATCACATAGCTCCTAATTCCAAAGACTGTATTAACCACCTTAGCAGCAATTATCAAAATATTTAAAAACTAGTATAGCAAAGCACTGATTAATCAGATAGTCACAGAGTCTGGCGAGGCCTCCTAATACACCATGTATTAACCATTAGTTTGCAGGATTTTGAGGAAGTCTGGGGTAGTTCAAGGAGCCAGTCTAGCGGAAGGAGCCAGGGTGGTCAAGGGGTAGGTGGGGCATTGGGAGGCCCAGATTGCTATTTTTGTATGTTAACCCTACACTATACTGGATGGTTTTTATCTCAAAGTCTCTCATTTATGCTCAGAAATCTATACAGCCTGTGTATTTTTAATCTATATTTGAGTAATCAAAATTCTCCATGGTTTTTCTCCCTGTAGACAAAGGAGCTCACCTGACAGCTACAAATTACTGACTTTCAGCTCCAATCAGTTTTCATCCAGCTGCCTTAGACATTAAGGATAAAAAGTCCTGACAGTGGCTTGAAACATCCCTAAAAAGTTAAAGATTCACAATGATATTCTCCTACTGCTTTAGAAAATGGGTACTGAGGTACATGAAGGTTGAAACAAGTATCATTTCCACCTGGCCCTCACAATCTCTTCTGGGGAAGAGCAGGCCTGCATATGCCTGCACTGTGGCCATGGATGATTGGATCAGGAATGGACATCTGACTGCATGATTAGCCAATCTGATTCTGCCTTCTAATTACTTGGAGCCTAGTTTCAGCTCATGGATCACTTGAACTAGAAGAACATGCATAGCCAAGGTTGGGGAGCCAAGGCAGTCTGGAAAGAAAGGGAGGAAAGGAGAAGGTGAGGGAGGAAGAAAAGCCCAGAAAAAAAAGGGTAAACATAAAAGAGCACATCTCTAAAAAGTAAAATTCTTAGTGGCTGTCCCTTTCTTGCCTTTAAATTTTATTAAATGTCATTTTTCCCCTCATGCTAGCTTTAGTAGCTATCTCTTTCCGGCAAGCTAATGATCTTTTTACTAATATGCAGCCCAACAGAGGAATTCTTTAAGTCCTAGAGAAAGCACTTTATGTTGAATTCACTCTTCTTCCCTCTCTGAAACATACCAAAGACATGCCAGGTGAAAAGGTACCATAGGCAAGAGGGGCCTTATGTCTTCAGCTTGAACTCTGCAGGATCATGCTACTAATAAGTGGTGAGACTATGGAAGTCTTGCCTTAAAACTTTAAAAAGAGAGTATATATATTTCTATATCCCAGCAAGGAACATGAGAAGCAAGTTAAGAAAACAATTTCACTCACAATAGCATCAAAAAATAAAATACCCTGGCTTCCAGAATGGCATTCTGAGGCGCTTGAGGAACACCTCCCCTGAAAAACATATATTAAGCAGGCCAGAGCTAACAAAGACAGTCACTCAGACTCTGTGGAGGTTGATCAATGGGCTTATAACAAATTGAGAGGGATTTATTCAATAAAATGTTTGTAAACTTGGTAAGAACACTGGGAGGTACAGCATTTGAGCTAGGGACTGTACCTGACCCCATATAACTGCCTTGAGAAGAATTATTTCAGTGGGTTCGGCAACCACGGGACATTCTTATCTCTTCCAGCTCCCTAGCATAGAAGAGCTATTCTGTGTGGTTTGGGTAGCTGCTGAATTTTGGCAGATCCCATTTTCCACACTCCCTACTGTGGAAGGCCTATATTGAGTAGGTAGTGGCAGCCAGATGGCATCTGTCACCCCAATCCCAATTCCCATTACACAGGGAGTATCCAAGTGGGCCAGCTGGTGAAGAGTACAGACTCAGTTTCCTGAACAGATCAGCATTGTAAAAGAACTGCTCCAGTGGGCTTGACAGCCAAAGGGTTGCTCCCATCTCCCCTAGATTCCTCAGCTGGAAGACCCATTCCAGGTAGATTTGGCAATCAGTGAATATTGGTGGAACCCATCCTTTTTAGGTCTGAGCTACTGAAGATCCATATTGGGCAGTGGCAGTAGTTGGGTGGCAGCACCAGTCCCCTTGCCTCCTCATATATACACATAGACACAGTTCCTGCTTTATAGGGGGGATGCTGGTGGGAAAGCAATAAAGAATAAGTTTCTTATCTCCACCACCACCCCACCCCAGCTGGTGCTCCATAGTTTAGTTGTTCTGCCCAGGGAAGAGTCAGAGCAAGCCTTAAAAATTGGCAACACTCTTCCCCTGACAAACAGCCAGACTTACATTGGATCAAACTGCGTGCAGTGCCCAAGGGTATTGTCAAAAATAATAATCATATAGCAATTAGTGGAGGCACCCGCCACCATGCCCAGCTAGTTTTTTGTATCTTTAGTAGAGACGGAGTTACACCATGTTAGCCAGGATGGTCTCAATTTCCTGACCTCGTGATCCACCAGCCTCGACCTCCCAAAGTGCTAGGACTACAGGCGTGAGCCACCCTATAGCAGTGCAAGAACAGACTAATTCACTCTTCATTCTTCTTCCAGCTTTTAAAAATAAAATTATATAAAATAATAAGCATAATAATGTAGGGTTGGGTTTCTAGCATACATAAACATAATATGCAAAATAGTAATAACATGCAGAAAAGAATGAGAGGGAATGAGATATACAGAAGAAAATCTTTTGTATCTCACTTGAATTGAGTAGTATAAACCTGAAGTTAATTCTGATAAGATGTATATTGAAAGTCCTAGAATAAGCACTAAGAAAATAACTCAAAAAATGTCAATATTAGTTTCTCATTGATGCTTTAAGAAATTGCCACAAACTTAATTGCTTAAAACAAGACAAATTTATGATCTTACAGTTTTGGAGGTCATAAATCTGAAGAGGTTTCAATGGGTAAAATCAAGAAGTAAACAGAATTGTGTTCCCCTTGGAGGCTCTAGCAGGAAGATCTGTTTTCTTGCCTTTTCTAGCTTTCAGAGACTACACTCCCCTTTCAAGCCAGCAAATGCATCATTCTAACATCTCACTCGCAGTATGTTTTTTTTTTTTTTTTTACTTTCCTGCCTCCCTCTTTCCCTTATAATTAGCCTTGTGATTACATTGGAGTGACTCAGATAAGACAGGGTAGTCTCCCCATCTCAAAATTCTTAATCACACATGCAAAGCCCCTTTTGCCATGCTAGGTAATATATTCACAGGTTCTGGGCATTCAGACATGGGCATCATTTGTGGATCATTATTTTGCCTACCATGGTTAAAATATCATTAAAGGAATTGAAATGTTACACTAGAAAATATACAGCTAATGCAAAAGAAGATAGTAAAGAATAAAGAAACTAAAATGACAAACATATAGACAGCAAAAACAAAAATGGCAGACATAAATAAAACCATAACAATAACATTAAATTTGAAAGAATTAATCCTATCAAAACAACAAATTATTAGACATAATTTTTTTAAAATTCAACCATGTATTGTCCACAGCAAACGTATTTTAGATTCAAAAATACAAGTAAATTGAAAGCAAAATGATGGGAAAGATATGCCATGTGAATAGCAACCAAAAGAGAGCAGGAATAGCTATGCTAATATCAGACAAATTAGAGTTTTAAAAAAATGTTAATAAAAAATGTCATAATAAAAAAGGATCAATCCATCAGGAAGACATAACAATCATAAACATATATACACCTAACAACAGAGCCTCAGATACATGAAGCAAACCTGAACAGAATGTAAAAAAAATATATAAGTTTCAACAATCATAATAGGAGACCTTACTTTCAATAATGGATAGAGCAACTATTCAGAAGATCAGCAAGGAAATATAGAACTTCAACAGCTCTTTAAAGCAACTAGACATAGTAGACATCCACCCAAAAGCCATAAAATTTATGTTTCTTAAGCACACATGGAACATTCTCCAAGACTGATCATATGCTAGGCCATAAAGCAAATCTCCATAAATTTAAAAGAATTGCAATTACACAAACTATGTTATTTGACAACAACAGAATAAAGTTATAAATCAATAACAAGAAAAGATGTGAAATTCAAAATTACATAGAAATAAAATAACAAATGCCTAAATAACTAATGGATCACAGAAAAAAAATCACAAGGGAAATTAGTTAAGTTTCGAAATGAATTAAAATGAAACACAATATACCAAACTTATGAAATGCAGCAAAAGCAATTCTCAGAGAGAAATTTATGGCTATAAACACCAATACTGTATTACAAAAAGAAGAAAGACTTCAATTAATAATCTAAACTTCCACCTTAAGTAACTTGAAAAAGAAGAACCAACTAAACCCAAAGCAATAGAAAAAAAGGAAATAACAAACAAATAAATAAAACAGAGAATAGAAAAACAATACAGAAAAATCAATGAAACAAAAAGTTAGATCTTTGAAAAGGTCAGCAAAATTGAAAAACCTTTACCTAAACTGACTAATAAGAGAGAGAGAGAATGCATATTACTAAAGTCAGAAGTGAAAGAAAGATGTCATTTTTGATCTCATGGAAATAAAAAGGATTAAAAAGGAGTACTATAAACTGTACAACAAGAAATTTGATAACTTAGATGAAATAGACAAATTTCTGAAATAACAGAAACTACCAAAATTAACTCAGGATAAAAAAGAAAATCTGAATAGACCAATAACAAATTAAGAGGTTAAATTTGTAATTTAAAACTTTACCACAATGAAAATCTCAGGCCCATAATGTTTCACTGGTGAACCCTTGCAAATACATAAAGAGGAATTAAAACAGATACTTCATAAACTCTTCCAAAAAATAGAAAAGGAAGGAACAATTTTCAACTCATCATATGAGGACAGAATTACCAAAACAAAAGACATTAAAATAAAAGAAAACCACAAACTAATAACCATTATGAAAATAAAAGCAAAACTTTTCAGCAAATTACTAGTAAATTAAATTTAGAAACATATAGAAAGGAATATCCACCATAACCAAGAGGGATTTATCCCAAGAATATAAGATTGATTCAAAATCAAAACATCAATCTATGTAACACAACATACCAATAGAATAAAACACAAAAACCATATAATCTCCATAAATGCAGGAAAATCCTTGTTAAAACCCAACACACCTTCATTTAAAAAGAAAACCATTTAAAAAAACAGAAGGAAACTTCCTTAACCTGGTAAAGAACATCTATAAAATACCTACAGCTAGCACCATGCTTAATGGTGAAAGACAAAGCTTTCTCCTTATAATCAAGAACAAGACAAATCTGTTCACTCTCTTGCCATTTCTATCTAACATTATACTGTAAGTCATACTCAGGGAAATTGGGTCAGAATAATACATAAAATTGGAAAGGAAGAAGTGAAATTATCTTTTTTGTAGATGACATGATCTTCTACATAGAAAATTAAAAGAAGTCCACAAAACATTACGTTAGCTGTTTAAAAATCTATCCAGGCCTGCAGCAACTCGATTCTTGCCTCCTCAGAAGAAAGAATTATGCTGAGGGGCATAAGGCAGGGTGAGAGACCAAGGTGAGTTTTAGAGCAGGAGTGAAAGTCTATTAAAAAGTTTTAGAACAGGAACGAAAAGAAGTAAAGTACACTTGGAAAGGGGCCAAGCGAGTAACTCGAGATCGAGCCAAGTGTGCTGTTTGGCCCTTGACTTAAGGTTTTTATACACTGCATTTCTTCTCCCTTGATTTTTCCTTAGGCAGGCTGTCTACATGCACAGTGGCTTGCCAAAACTAGGGAGGGGCCACATGCGCAGGTGTCTACTGAAGTTGTGCACATGTTCATTTGAGGCATTTTTCCCTTACCAGTCAAGTGTTTCCAGAGGAAGGTCATATACCAGTTAAACTCTGCCATTTTGCTTCTCGGTGTGCATGCTCAAGCCTGCTTGCCCAATTCCTGAAATCTTATCAGGAAGCAGCCATCACCAGCTTCAGGTGTTTTCTATTATTGGAAGCGTGCTTCCCCTGGTGCCAGCTGCAAACAATTTTTTTTTAGTGAGTCAGTTTAACAAGCACCTAACGATCACCTGATGGCCACCTGAAATTCCTGGTTGGTGGGGGTGGGCTTCTCCTGCCCTGCTCATATCTGCCTAGCTACCTTCTCCAACAATTATAATTAATAAATTGGTTGAGCAAGTTTATAGGGTACGCAATCAATGTACAAACACAACTGTATTTCCATATACTAGCAACAATCTAATAATTATATTATAAATCAATTACATTTACAATAACTTCAAAAAGAATAAAATATTTAGAAATACATTTAATAAAAAAAGAATAATGTTTGTACACTGAAAAGTACAAAATATCATAGAAAGAATTTGAAGACCTAAATAAATGGGAAAACATCCAATGTTCATAGATCGGAAGACAATGTTAACATGACAATACTCCCCCAAATAGTTAAATGCAATCCCAGTCAAAATCTCAGCTGCTTTTTTTTTCTTTTTTTGTAAAAATTGACAAGCTAATCCTAATATTCATGTCTAATTGCAAGGAACCCAGAATAACCAAAACAATCTTGAAAATGAAGAAATTTAAGAATTCACACATCCTGAATTCAACATCTGCTACAAAGCTATTGGAATCAAGATAATGTGGCACTGACTTGAGGACAGACATATAGATCAAAGAAATGAAATTGGGAGTCCAGAAATTAATGCTTACATTTATATTCAACTGATTTTCTAGAAAGATGCCAAGATGATTCAAATAGGCATGGAAGATATTTTTGGAGCAACAAAATTATTCTAAGATTCTGGGGATGATTGCACAACTCTCTAAGAAATCATTCAATTGTACACTTAAAAAGGGTGAATATTTCAGTATGCAAATTGTACCTTAATAAAGGTGTTTAGGAATCAATGGATTAACTTCAAATGTATGCATTATAGATAGATGAGGCATAAAGTCACTCATGAATTTTTAAGGGTAGAGAAAAAAGGGATAGTTAGACATTTCAGACTTTCAGTGGTTAAAATCCTATACTCAAATGTGTGTCTCATTTCACAGATTGAGAAAATGAGGAAAATTGGGAGAGTTTCTTGTGCTCTGACCAGTTCTGATGAGCTTTTGGTCAGTGCCAGCTTTGTCTGAGACAGAAAGCCAAGAAAGCAAAAATCACTCAAGTCACTGTGGGAAGCAAAAGGTAAAGATTAGAAACAGGCATGTTGGGTTTGTTTCGGATCAGCACACATTTGGATGCTTTTAATACTGAACATTTATTAAATGCAAGCAGCTCACTGAGCCAGAGAGAATTTGGAGCTATTTGTGGCCTCTAGCTCCTTGGTCTGAAAAATTGGAGTGAATATCAGAGTTCATTCTACTCCAGGCTTAAGACCTTCTCTGAATTTATGAAATTGGAAACATAATATTCGAATCATTTGACACAATTATTCATCTATAACATGGATGTAAGTGTTTTTAGTATCTTTTCCCTTAAAGTTGAGTAGTGTAAAAGTAAAGCCCTGCATGTTCTAGAAAGATTCACCTTTTTAATGAATTAAGTACATTTTGTATTTGTTTTTGATTACCTTATCTCTAGTCCCACTAGCTCTGAGCCTTGTATAACGGTAGCAGTATCATGTTACCAGAACCTGAAATCACACTTCCCTGGGATGTTCTGATGGCAGAGAGTGCAAAGAAATGACTTCTCTGGAATCGTTCCAGGACAGCATGCTGTCAGGGCAATTTGAGGATAATATGCACAGTCCAGTGAAGGTTGCATAATTGCCCATGTGCTATTTTTAACTCATTCTCTCGAGTTACACCATTGGCACAGATAAGCCATTACAATGTGCTCAGATACCTATTAAAAGTGATTAAATAAGTGGCATGGACTTAGTGGCATATAGTCGTATCTTAAGTTTGACAGGTGAGAGCTGCTTATAGCATTTTTCCCTATAGTGCTATTTATTTATTCTCATATCACCCCCATTATTTGGAGAGGTAACAAAAGAAGGAGTTGAGAGGGAAATCAACTCACTTGAATCATTGCTAGGTGCTGAGGTCAACACAAGGCAAGTGACTAACTAGGTTTATAAAAATTCACTCTGATAAAAATGAAAGCACCTTTATTTCCACTCTAAACAAGTCACTGAGATAAGCTTCTCTGACACCTACAAAAGGCATGGTAATATTTATTTTCTTCAGAGACTTTTCTCCTATGGCTATTAAAACAGAGCTCCACTTAAAAATCAATATACAGTTCACTATCTGAGGGATAAATTGTCAATGGCACAAAACTGCAAGTGAGCCAGATTGTTAATATGCTGCAATCCTGTGCTCCCAGCATCTCTAATGTCCTCGTTCCAAGTTCCCCTCATCCCTAAGACCTCTTCTCCTCCTACTTCATCTTCTCCCTTGAAGTTGGAGGAGTTTCAGACATGAGCCAAGTGGACAAGCCCATTTTTTTAAGCATGCATGCATCTCCAATTTCCCTGAAATACCTCCTAGGTCTGGGTAGCTGTGAAGGAAAGAGGTAGTGAAATGCCCCAACGATGATCGAAGGAAAAGGCTAAAAGTGTCACTGAGAGGCCCAAAGATCTCTGTCATGACCTACAGTATGCTTTATAATTCCATAATGGGTCTTCAAATTGAGGATCAACTTGAGTGATCAATTCCAGCATAACAACCTGATCCAAGCTTCTCTTCACTCAGCTTTTAACCAGATTATGTGAGACTCTTTAAAGAACAATTTTTAAACTGCATAGAAGATATTAAGCCACCTAAAGTTGGGAGAACTGGGATATCCTTGCAACATTGTATTTCTGACTAAAATAAGCCTCCTTAAAGTATGTGGTATTCTAGCAAAGGCTAATATAAATCCCTGGCACTACTCAAGGGCTAAAGGATCCTGACTCCAACTCCAGCCTCACAGCATGGAGTTCCCTATGCACTCTCTTGGCTCTTTTTTGATGCAAAAGCATGAAGTTACTAAAAGAAAGCCAGGACATCTTAGTGCTGTCCTGGCTGCCTGTAGATCTGTATTGAGGACCTAGCATGATTAGCTCAGCCCCCAGTGATATAAGTCAAGTATGTCTAAATACTCTGACTCACATATTTAGATTCTTAAGAAAGAAATCCCTACAATGTCTGCAAAAACAGTAAATGGAAGAGTATAAGCTCTAAAGTCACTCCTGGAGTCAGTCCTTACTTTCTGATTTGTAAACTGTGCGATCTTGGGCAATCATGTAACATTTCAGCACATCAGTCTGCCATGATATAAAGTTGTGCTAATAACAATACTCTCCTTCAGAGAGTTATTTGATGATTAAATCAGACAATGTATGTAAAGTACTTATGCCAGAGCCTGACACATAACAATTTCTTAATAAATATTTGCATGTATTTGTGTGAGCATGAGTATTGTATCATTTGTAATACTTGGTGATGCTTTAAAGCATGAGATTCAAGAGTCTAAAGATCAACAGCTCCTCAGAGGAGTCTTTTGTCCATCTCAAATAAAGTCCTGTCTGCACAATTGGGAGATATATCCAATAGGGTAGCCATGCAATCTGGACCATGATTGGCCCCTATCTGAAAACAGCTTCTATTCTGCAGCTTTCATTAGCCAGATTCTTACAGCCTTCCTGGGAGATGTCCTAAAATGTGGTTGCAGTTCACCCAGAATATTTCAAATTGACTGAAGTTGCATTGAAAGTGGTGCTTCTAGGCCGGGCACAATGGCTCATGCCTATAATTCCAGCATTTTGGGAGGCCAAGGTGGGTGGATCACCTGAGGTCAGGAGTTCGAGACCAGCCTGGCCAACATTGTAAAACCCCGTCTCTACCAAAAATATAAAAGTTAGCTGGGCGTGGTGGAAGGCACCTGTAATCCGAGCTACTTGGAAGGCTGAGGGAGGAGAATCGCTTGAACCCGGGAGGCAGAGGTTGCAGTGAGCCGAGATGCTGCCATTGCACTCCAGCCTGGGCAACAGAGCGAGACTCTGTCTCAAAAAAAAAGAAAGAAAGAAAGTGGTGCTTCTATAAACATGTGAAACTTGCATTTTATATGAATATTTGCATACATGCATACATATTTGCACAATAAAATTTAATCTCTATGAAGAAAAGAATGTTCTGCCTGTCTTGTTCAACATTATATATGCTTGCATCCAGAAAGAAAAGTGTCTAGTGTACAATGGACATTCAATAAATATTTATTAATTAAATGAATACTCACTTATAGATGTTTTGTTCAACTAATATTTTAATACCTACTAAGTATCAAGCCCTTCCATATTTCTGGTAAACAAGACTGATACAATCCCTGCATTAATGAAAATTACAGTTTAGAGGAGGAAAAGCATTAATTAGATAATCATATGGAGAATTTCAAAATTATAATATTTTTAGTAAAAACAAGAAATATATGGCTCCATTAGAATAAAAAGTATTCCACCTAGCAGGCAGTCAAATATTTATTCACTGCCTATGATGTGCTAGGCAGTGCTCTAGGCCCAGGAAACAGCAGTAAAGTAGACGAAGAGTGTCCCTGTGCTCAGTGAGTTCACCTTCCTTTGGGGATAGAAAAAGAGTATGCATTCTCCTCCCCAAAATATATAAAATAAAGTCCTGATGAGTACATTGAAGAAGACACAACAAAGCAGCAATTCTCAAATTGAGCATGTGTCATCATCACCTGAAGCACTGATTAAAGCAGAGATTGTTTTAATTCAGAGTTCTTGATTCAATAGGTCTAGGGTGGGGCCTGAGTATTTTCATTTTTAGCAAGTTCCCTAGTACTGCTAATAATGCTGGTTTAGGGCTACAAAAGTCACAGCAATAATGATCAAAGCAAGGTATGTATCACATGTACCACCTCATGCATTTATCATTTATTTGTGGTAAGAACATCAATAAAAATTGTATAAAAGAAATCACATAATATCAAAATAATTTAATGACTCATCAGCTATAATCTTGATTATATTATTCATAAATTTTGATGAAATAAAAATATTGGAAACAAAAAAGAATCAGAGCAATAGAGTAATATGGTGGCAGGTCATGAGTGGCAGGTCATGGGTGGCAGGTCATGGCCTCTCTGAACAGGTAATATTTCACCTGAGGCCTGGATAGCGAAAGGAGTTAATCATCAAAGCTCTGAGGGGAGAGCATTTCATGCTGAGGAAACAATGATTGCAAAGGCCTTGATGTGAGAATGAATTAATTTGTCATGAGTTCATTTGTGTTTCCTGGAGAAATCCAGCAGTGGATGCAGGGCAGACTGGAAGGAGATCAAGATGGAGAGCAAAGCAAGGGCCAGGCCATGCAAGACCTTGCCAGCCATGTTGAAGATTTTGATCTTCATTCTAAAAGCACTGGGAAGCCAGTGACAGGTATTAAGTAGAGATAAGATGGGATTAGATTTACATTTTGAAAAGAGTTCTCAGGCTAGAGAATGGAGAAAGATTGGAGATGGAAAAGGGGCCAGTGTGAAATGGTAGAATAGTTAAGAGGCTAAAGTCTTAGAATAGGTGGGATAAGATAGTGAGTTAAATTAGTATGATGGTCCTGGAAGTGAAGAGGATATCAAGTGATGTTTAGGAGATAAATGTCAAAGTAGTTGATTAAAAGTTGGACCTGGGTAAGAGGTGGATAAGGAATAAGGTAATGTTATGTGTAATTTCCATATTTCTGGATTCCATAACCTAAAGGATGGTGGTACCATTCACTGAAGCAGGAGAGATTAGATTAGAAGAGGACTAAATTTTGTAGAGTTTTTTGAAGGGAGAATTATTGTTTGTGTATGTGACTTTGCTTTTGTTTTGCTTTTTTGTCTGTTTGTTTGTTTGTTTTGAGGAGATAAGGGATGAGAAGATGGGCTCTCGTGACTTTACTTTGGGATATTTTTAATCAGAAGTGCCCTTGCTGAGACATGCAAGTACGGAAGTTAGTTAACTTCTTACTTGTAACTTCAGTTACAAGTAGCTCAGTAGAAAAAGGTCTAAATTGGAGATCAAAATGCATTTAATCCTTTTTTTTTCAGTTGGTCATTGAGTCCACAAGATTGAATGAGATCATTTACAGAAAGTGGGAAGAAGACCTCAGAATGAACATGGAAAAACAACATTTACTGGAGAGAAAGAAAAGAATAAACTGTCAAAGGAGATATAGAACAAAAAGGAAAACCAAGTATTTTTTGCACAATGGAAGGCAAGAGGAGAGAGTATTTTAATAAAGAGGGAGTGATCAATTTGTATTCCTACTGAGAAACCAAGTAAGATCAACACTGAAAAATATACATCAAGTGATTTATATGAATATGTTTTATACACAAAAAGAAAACAAGTAATTATTTTAAACTCAAATTAACAAATCACATAACATAAAATTTTTAAAAAGCAACAAATAGTCTTTCTAAATCCTAGATTGCAATCTACTTTTTGTCACCCGCATAGTACCTAAAGGGTTCCCCACAGAGTAACTATTCAATAAATATGCACTGCCTTGAATTAAAAGTGTGTAACAGCTTAAGTCTTAACAAACCTATGACTCCTTTTCTATCCTTCACTATGCGTATACATTCTAAGTTGATGAACAAAATCACAGTATTTAATTGCCACATTATTGTTCACTGTGGTATTTTACAAAATTCTACCACACTTTATTTAACTCTTTCAAAAATCATCTATGTCTCTCTGCTTCCTCTTTCTTCTCCTCGTCATTTCCTCCCCTTTCTCTTTTTTCTCCTTCTAGTCTTTTATTATAATCATTCTCTGCCTTATGGAGCAACCTCATCACATTGATTCTATTTGCTTTTTCAATGGTAGGAGCACTGATAGTTCTCTATCTTTCCCAGCTGATTCCAGTTGCTCCATTCAGGCCATCACTAAGGAAATTACTCCCCATTCATTATGATTTATCATACTGATATAGTTTTAAGTTCAGGTTATTTTAAAATCATATATGCTAAATCAATATATGACATAAACTGGTAACAATTTTCTCCACAGCGCCCAGAGGACACTAGTGTGTCCCCATGTCTGTGAGTAGCACATCCTTCAGATGTTGAAGTGGTCTCTGCACACTTCTCTCCACTGCTCCTTTGCATGGCATTTGAAACCCACACTATCTCTCCTGTCCCCTCCACCCCCTTAATTACTTTCTTAGTGCATTATGTATCAAATTAGTCATCTTTGTTGGCGTGTATATGTCTTCTTTTGAGACATGTCTTTTCATGTTATTTGCCCAGTTTTAATGATGTTTTTTGTTTGTTGATTTGTTTAAGTTTCTTACAGATTCTGGATATTAGACCTTTGTTGGATGCATAGTTTGTGAATACTTCCTTCTATATTGTAGGTTGTTTACTCTGTTGACAGTTTCTCTTGCTGTGCAGAAGCACTTTGGTTTAATTGGGTCCCACTTAATCAATTTTTGTTTTGTTGCAATCGCTTTTGAGGACTTACCCATAAATTATTTACCGAGGCCAAAATTGAGATGGGTATTTTTTAGGTCTTCTCCCAGGATTTTTATGTTTTGAAGACTTACATTTAAGTCTTTCAACCATCTTGAGTTAATTTTGGTATACAGTCATGGGTAGGGGTCCAGTTTCATTCTTCTCCATATGGATAGCCAGTTATCCCAGCACTGTCTTTTCCCCATTACTTATTTTAGTTGAGTCTGTCAAAAATTAAGTGGTTGTAGGCATACCGCTTTATTTCTGGGATTTCTATTCTGTTTCATTGGTTATGTTCCTGTTTTTGTATGAGTACCCTGCTGTTTGTGTTATTGTAGCCTTGTAGTACAGTTTGAAGTTGGGTTATGTGATGCCTCCAGCTTTGTTCTTTCTGCTTAGGATTGTTTTGGCTATGGGGCTCTCTTTTGGTTCCATGTTAAATTTAGAATTTTTTAAATTTAGAATTTTTTGTCTAATTATGTGAAAAATGACATTGGTAGTTTGATAGGAATAGCATTGAATCTGTAAATTGCTTTGGGCAGTATGAACATTTTAACATTGATTCTTCCAATCCATAAGCATGGGATGTTTTTCCATTTCTTTTTGCTGTCTCTGATGTCTTCCAGCAGTGTTTTATAGTTGTTATACATGTCTTTCACCTCCTTGGCTAGACGTATTCCTAGGTACTTTTTTGTGTGTGTCTGTGGCTATTGTAAATGGGATTGTATTCTTGATTTGGCTCTCACTTGGATTTTGTTTGTGTATAGAAATGCTACTCATTTTTGTACATTGATTTTGTATCCTGAAACTTTACTGAAGTTGTTTATCAGTTCTAGGAGCCTTTTGGCAGAGTCTTTAGAGTTTTCTAGGTATATAATCATATCATTGGTAAAGAGAGATAGTTTGACTTCTTCTTTTCACATTTGGATTTTTTTTCATTCTTCCTCTTGCCTGATTGTTCTCACTAGGATTTCCATTATGACGTTTAATAGTAGTGGTGAGAGTAGGGATCATTGTCTTCTTCCAGTTCTCAAAGGGAATTGTTCCCGCTTTTGCCCATTCAACATGATGTTGGCTATGGGTTTGTGATAGATGGCTCTAATTATTGTGAGGTATATTCCTTCAATGCCTACTTTATTGAGAGTTTTTATCAAAAGGGATGTTGGATTTTGTTGAAAACCTTCCCTGCATTTTTGAGATGATCATATGGTTTTAGTTTTTAATTCTGTTTATGTGATGAATCACATTTATTGATTTGCATGTTTGGAACTCATCTTGTATCCATGGAATGAAGCCTATTTGATCATGATGAATTAACTTTTTGATATACTGCTGGATTTGGTTTACTAGTATTTTGTTCAGGATTTTTGCATCTATTTTCATCTGGGATATTGGCATGAATTTTCTCTTTTTATTGTGTCTTTGCCAGATTTTGGTAACAAGATGATACTGGATTTATAGAATGAGTTAGGGAAGAGACTCTTATCCTCAATTTCTGGGAATATTTTCAGTAGGATTGGTAACAGTTCTTCTTTTTACATCTGGTAGAATTTGGCTGTGAAACCATCTGGTCTAGAGCTTTTTATGATTGGTAGTTTTCCTTTATTACTGATTCAATTTCAAAATTCATTATTGGTCTTTTCATGTTTTCACTTTCTTCCTAGTTCAATCTTGAGAGGATGTGTGTTTCCAGGAATTTATCCATTTCCTCTAGATTTTCTAATTTGTGTGCATAGAAATAGTCATAATAGTCTTTCAGTTTCTTTTTATTTCTGGGAGATCAGTAGTAATGTCATCTCTGATTGTGCCTATTTGGATATTCTCTCTTTTTTTCTTCGTTAATCTAGCTAGTAGTCTATCAATTTTGTTTACTCTTTAAAAGAAACAGCTGTTGGTTTCATTATCTTTTGTACAGAATTTTGCAACTTAATTTTGCTCTGTTCTTCTCTGACTTTAGTCGTTTCTTTTCTTCTGCTAGTTTGGGGGTTGATTTGTTCTTTGGTTTCTAGTTCTACTAGGTATGATGTTAGACTGTGAATTTGAGACCTTTGTAACATGTTGATGTATGTGTTTATCACTATAAACTTCCCTTCTCACCCTGCTTTAGCTGCATCTCAAAGATTTTGGTATATTGTGTTTCATTTTCATTAATTTCAAAGATTTTTTTAATTTGTGTCATAATTTCATTGTCTACCCAAGAGTCATTTAGGAGTAAGTTGTTTCATTTCCATGTACTTGTATAATTTTGACAGATGTTCTTGGTATTGATTTCTGTGTTTATTCCACTGTGGTCCAAGAGAGTGCTTAATATTTTTTGATTTTTTAAAATTGAGACTTGCTTTATGACTTAGCATATAGTTGATCTTAGAATATGTTCTGTGTGCAGGTGAGAAGAATATATATTCCATGGTGGTTAGGTGAAGTATTCTTAGATATCTATTAGGTCCAATTGGTCAAATGTTTAGTTGAAGTACAGAATTTCTTCATTAGTTTTCTGCCTTCATAATCTGTCTTACACCGTCAGTAGGGTGTTGAAGCCTCCCACTATTATTGTGCCACCATCTAAGTCTTTTCATAGGTCAAGAAAAACTTGTTTTATGACTCCAAGAGCTCCATTCATGGGAGTGTATGTATTTAGGTTAGTTGTGTCTTCTTGTTAAATTGAACTTTTTCTCATTATATAATTCCTTTCTTTGCCTTTCTTGCTTGTTGGTTTAAAGTCTCTTTTATCTTATATAAGAATAACAACTTCTGGTCTTTTTTCTTTTCCATTTGCATGATAGGTCTTTCTCCATCCCTTTACTTTGAGCCTGTGGGTGTTGTTACATGTGCTCTAAGTCTCTTGAAGACAGCAGCTGTGTCTTGTCTTTATATCCATCTTGCCAGTCTGTGTTTTTCAGTGGGGTATTTAGACCGTTTACATTGAATGATAGTATTGATATGTGAGATTTTGATCCTGTCATCATGTTAGCTGGTTTTTTTGTAGACTTGGTTAGTTGTTTTATAGTGTTTGTGGGCTTAACTCTGTTTTTGTAGTAGCAGATATCCTTCTCTCATTTCCATGTTTAGCACCCCCTTAAGACCCCCTTGTAAGGCTGGTCTAATGGCAATACATTTCCTTAGCATTTGCTTGTCTGAAAAGAATTTTATTTCTCCTATGCTTATGAAGCTTAGTTTGATGGTATGTGAAATTCTTGGTTGGAATATTTTTTCTTTAAATACACTGAAAATAGGTCCCCAATCTCTTCTGCCTTGTAAGGTTTCTGCTGAGACGTCTGCTGCTAGGGTGATAGGGATCCCTTTTTAAGTTACTTGACCCTTCCCTCCAGCTACCATTAAGATATTTTTTCTTTCACATTGATCTTGGTGAATCTGATGACTATGTGGCTTTTGAATGGTCATCTTGTTTAGTATCATGTAAGGGTTATCTGTATTTCTTGAACTTGCATGCCAACCCCTCTAGCAAGATTAGGGAAATTTCCATGGACTATATCCTCAAATATATTTTCTAGGTTGCTTACTCTCTTTCTTTCTCTCTCAAGAATGCCAGTGAGTCATAGGTTTGGTCTCTACATAATCCCTTATTTCATGGATGTTTTGTTCATTTTTTAATCTTTCTCTATTTTTGTCTGACTGGGTTGAAGAACTAGTCTTCAAGCTCTGGGATTCTTTTCTCAGCTTGGTCTATTTTGTTGTTAATGTTTCTGATTGTATTATGAAAATTGTATGGTGAATTGTTCAATTCCAGAAGTTCAGTTTGGTTCTTCTCTAAAGTGGTTATTTTGTCTTTTAACTCTTGGATGCTTTTATTGGATTCTTTGGATTCCTGGATTGGGTTTCAACTTTCTCCTGAATCTTGATGAGCTTCCTTGCTATCCAAATTCTGAATTCTATGTCTGTCATTTCAGTCATTTCAATATGGTTAAGAACCACTGTTGGAGAGCCGTTGCACTTGTTTGGAGGTAAGGGAACGCTCTGAGTTTTTGAATTGCCAGAGTTCTTGCACTGATTCTTTTACATCTGAGGGGGAGATTTATTGATAGTTGGGTAGTTGGTGTAAATGAATGGAGTAGGAGCCCAAGGAGATTAGTTGAAGCAATGAAATGAATTAGAGAGATCAATATAAGGGATCAGGTTTGCCCTTTAATATTATGGATTATTATTATTTGCTTTAGTACAAGTTGGATTAGTCACTGTTGAATGGATTGGTGTTTGCTTGTATTTTGGGAATTGCTATCAGTCGGATGAGGCTTTTGGGTTTATATTCTTTATTTCCTATGGATTTAACTGTGCTGTAAGTTGAGTATAGTCAATTGACTTCCTTCTGGATACTTTCAGAGGGCCATACCTCTGTACAGGATTTTCATTTGTAACTAGATTCTTGCACTGGATTTCATCAGCAATGCATACTGACAGAATATATTTGGTGTTGTGTAATTTGGGCTGCAACCCAGTAGATGATACTTAAAAGTACTGGCTGGCAGATAGGCTGTTACTTAGTTGGGCAGCTCTTTTGTATTTCAAAGTGTTTCCGGCAGTGCTCTATGGTGTAGGGAGGGGACAGAGATAAACCCCTCACCAAGTACACTTTCAGGCCTCAGGGTAGCCCCCTCTGATCACTGACGCTGTGCCTGCATTTCCTTTGTTAAGTGTTCTCGGCCATGGGTTTTGCTTGGGCAGAGGTCATGGTGGACAGACAGTACATACCCTTCCTGGACTAGCCTTGCAGAGGGAAGCACAAGTCATTCCCATGCCAACCCATGAACCTGATGGTCTCACCCTTCTCAGTGTTTTAAGGGTGGGGGCTTCTCCCCTACTCAAGTATGGGCCACGGATCTCAGTTGGGCACTCCCAGGCTGTGCACTGCAACTGTGGGGCACAGGAACCTGGCCTGTGGCTCTAGCCTATGGCCTCTTGGGGTCAGGCACTGGCTACGCTAGGGGATCCAAAATGCCCCCAGGCCACCAGGGTAGCACTCAGGCTGGGCAGCAGAGGTTGTACTATGCATATGCTCCTGTAGTAGCAGCCAGGCAGGGACCATGGGAGGAGACGGCAGGCAAGGGAGTCTGCAGAACAGATGGAGTCCAATCCCATGGGAAAGATGGCCCTGCTCTCTTTTGGCCCAGTGGTCAGCTGGGATTAGAGCTACTCAGAGGAAGATGGGGAACCTTGGGGAATGATGCCTATGGCCATCTTCCATTGCAGCTGCCCCACACGCAAAACCACCTGGGTTTCACACAGGGTGGAGCTCTGTCTTTTCCTAATCTCTAGACAGATCTCCCTGCCAATTCAAATGCCTGAGAGGGTCGTTGGATCTCTTATAGCTAGAATCCCAGAGGTCCACAGCGAGAGTGGCCTGCCCTGCCATCACTTCACACACCCCTTTCCTAGAAGCAGTTCAGGGCCAGGAACTAGTTCCGGCACTCAGCAACCCCATGCAGGGTTCCAGGCTTCCTCCTTCTTCAGCTTTGGCATCTGCATCACCTCTTCTCAACTCGTGGTGTTTTCTCTCTAAAGATCTGTTTGAAATATGTTGGTTTCCTTGATATTTTGGTGTCTCTTGGCGGTGTTGCTTCCTGGATGCTTCTAGTCAGCCATCTTGTCTCCCTCTTGAGAAGTTTCTCTCAAAATGGTAACACAGAAAGACATAGTCAGTTTCCTGCTCCGTGAATGAGAATATCCAGTGAACATTTTATCATAAACCGTAAGAGTCAATGCCCAAAGCACATCTCTCTCTTAAGAGAAAAGTCATAGACAAATCACTGGACAAATTTGAAATTTTAAAGGTAACAATTTTACAATATAATTTTTGTTTCTTTTTCCTTTAGTCCAAAATCCAAACTGGTTTTTGTTTTCAGTTCATTATCTCCAATCAACTTAAAGGCAAATGTCTCAGCATCAACTTTGGAATTAAACAGAGCCTTTCTTCAAATGATGTTCTGGGTGTATGATTTTTAAACTCTAATCTATGCCTCCTCTTCTCTTGTACTTGCATGAATCCTTTCCCCAAGAAAATCAACAGATAATAAAAGTGTATGACTATAGGTCTGAAGAGCTGAGTCTTTGAAATAGTTTATACTCGTTTCATCTCTGTTAGAGGTGAGTGATTATTAATATTCTGTGTCAACTTGACCGGCCTAAAGGATGCCCAGAGAGCTGATAAAACATTATTTCTCAGTATGTTTGCGAGAGTGTTTCCAAAACAAGTAGCATTTGAATTAGTGGAACGAATGTAGAAGATATTCCGTCACCAAAGTGGGTGGGCGTCATCCAATCCATTGAGGGCCTGAAAAAGCCAGAAAGATGTAAGAAGGGCAATTTTTCTTCCTGAACTAGGACAGATATCTTCTTCAACCCTTGGATATCAGAGTTTCTGGTTCTCAGGCCTTTTGGGAGTAGAATGCTATGGTTTGTGTTCTCCCAAAATTCGTATGTTGAAATCCTAAGCCCCAAGATAATGATATTAGGAGGAGGGGGCCTTTGGGAAGTGATTAGGTCATAAAGGTGGAGCCCTCATAAGTACAATTAGTGCCCTTATAAAACATGCCTCAGAGATCTATCTCAAACTTCCACTGCATGAGGATACACTAAAATATCCCATCTATGAAATAGAGAGCAGCCTTCATGAGATACCAAATCTGCCAGCACCTTGATCTTGGATTTCCTAGCCTCCATAATGAGCATTACCACCTGAGCTCCTCCTCTTGTTAGATCAGCAGTGGCATTAGATTCTCACAAGAGTATAAGCCCTATTGCAAACTGTGCATGCAAGGGATCTCGGTTGCACACTCCTTATGATAATTTAATTCCTGATGATCTGAAGTAGAACAGTTTCATCCCAAAACCATCCCCCACTGATCCCCACCCTCCTTGCATGGGAAAATGGTCTTCCAGGAAACCAGTCCCTAGTGCCAAAAAGGTTGGGGGCTGCTGGTTTAAAAGCTACCCAATTTATGGAATTCTGTTAGAGCAGCCTGAACAGACTAAGACAAGGTGTAAAGAGGCGGAGGCTGGGAGCCCTGCCACCTGCCCAGTGCCATGTGTTGAGGTCAAAGCTCCAGGATGAGCCCTTGCCTCTGAAGTTCTTTGTCTCCCCTGGATTATGGGCCGTAGTTAATGGTATCTCTTATCCTTATATCACACATGGCTAGAAGCAAGCACTTTAGAGTAATTAGTGTTTTACGTAAAGACATAGTCCAGAAAAATTAGAGTGTCCTGAACAAAAATTAGTAGATTCCCACCAAAAGAGAAACAGGCCAGTGGCTCACTGCCAGGCCCAGCTTCCCGGGCCTACTCTTGGTGTTCTTCCGACAGTTCATCCCATTCACCAGAGCTTCTAAAGGGTAAGAAAAGGACATATAGTTACTGCCTGTTGACCTCAAATTATCACAGTTTGACTGCAAACAGATTAAAAAAAATAGCATCCAGTCTAATGCAATCCAGTGTGAAGTGGGAGAAAGAACGTGAACTTCAGAGTCACATAGACCTAGTTCCAAATCCTAGCTCTGCTACTTTCTATTGCCTTTAATTTTAGGTACACCCATTGAGCTTCATAAGTCTGTTTCCAACATATAAAATTGGATCCAAAGGAAAAATATATATATATATACATAGATTTTCTAAGATATGTTAAGGGCGCACACTCATTGTTAGCAGCCTAAACCCGTAGACAGGCTCTCTTATAATCCTAGCACAACTCTGTGTCCATCTGTATACATGAGTGTTTTCATACACAGCCAAACATATCAACCACATGTCATATCAACCACTTGATCTTAAGCCCTGCAGATCACAAATCATCAATGTATCTTCATCATAAGCACAAGCCCACAGATGTGGAACAGTAAAGTTCACATTCTCTTTATATAGTACAAATACTCTTCATTAATATAGCAGGCCCATAAAGATAGTGGCAATTGGGCAATATATGCTTTACTTGTAGGCCATTGATAGATCTCTTTAAATGAATAGTATTTTCTACCAAACACCAAAGACAGAAACAAAACTCGTCAGGCTGAGTTGAGCTCATACCTTGAATTGCTCCTCTGTGTTCTTCCTTATCAATGGAGATCCTCGTAAGTTGAGAGATTCTGTCAGGAGGTATTTCATGTGGGAATCCCCTGGGCTACTGGGTCACAGCAGTAACTCAGCGATCTCAGCTACTGGAGAGTATAGTGGCAATGGCAAGAGTGATGCTACCCACCTGGGGCCATTCAGTTGGTGGCCAAATATTATTCATACATGTGAATTGTGCCCTGGCCCAGCTCTTTGAACATGAACCATTATGGAGTGTGTTTGTGTATTTGCAGGTTGACTGTTTTTGTGGGGTTAGGTTGCTTGGCTGCCAGTAGCCTTACTGATATCTCTCTGAAACATTCAAGTCATATTATCAAATAATCATATTGCTCTTACAGGTTAAAACGGAGGCAATACAGTTCCAGACACAGATCAATATAATTTTACAAAGTTTGTGCTGGGGTGCAAAGGGTGACAGAGATTGCCACATGAAATCTGAACAGGTTGTGTTTACTATTAGTGTGTGTCATGTTGCTCTTGTATATCACTCAGAAGCAAGTGTGGCCAGCAGGTAATCCTTCACATTCCCATAAAACAAGCCAGCCAATGGAGAAGTTCAGGCACCTCATACCCCAGAAGCTTGTGTTAGAGTTAGCTCTGCCCTTGTACCAGATGTGTCTTTTTGGTCTGAGATGGCACCACTGAAGGCACTGATTCCTGTCCTGGTGTCTTCCTTTCAAACCTGTAATTGGTCAGGTTATACCCTGATGAGGTGCTGTATCTGACAGCCCTTTTCTACCTTCAATCTGACCCTATGCCAGAATTCTGCCTCACATTTCTCTGTAACAAACAATGATTCTGGTTGTTTGGCCCTGGCCTGATGGTAAGATGGTTTGACCCTCCTAGGAAGATGATGCAAACCAACATTTCTTAATTTGTGATCCATGGAGTATTGTGTGTGTGTGTGTGTGTGTGTGTGTGTGTGTGTGTGTGTAAATCGCCAAGTTGGAGACACTGGCCAGAAATAAAATGTGGAATCAGTCTGCCCTGGCAAAGTTGTCAAGCTTCCCCACAATACTCAATAGGCCTTCCTAAAAAAGCAAGTCCATCAGTAGCTGGGAGAGGGAGAGAGAGAGAGGTGGGAAGAAAACAAAAGGCAGGGAGAGAAAAGGATGGAGATGAGAAGTTCCATGAGGTTTCTTCAAAATCAAATGCTGTTTAAAGTCTGTGTTGCTTAACTAAAAAGTCCTAATGGAAGTAAAAAAAAAACAAAAAACAAACAAACAAACAAAAACAAAAAAAAGAGTCTTTTTACTTAAGCTTCTATTTAATTTTACCTCTATTTTCTTTCTATTTATTCTAACAGTATGTTGTTACTTTCAAGAAAGTTACTTTGAAGACTTCTCATTTCTGTTTGTAAAAATCCATTTCTGGGTACAAGTTAAACACAGAAATCCTGACCTAAGCTTGGGCACCAAGTGTGGATAGGGATCCCAGCATGGGCTCCTTTATGAGGTCTAGGAGGGCCATTTTTACAACCATCTATGTCATATTAATGCCTCTGTCTTACAAAAGTCCCATGAGAAGAGAAATGGCTGAGAAAGGAATAAAATTTGGTGGACGTTGACTTAATGGGCAGCCAGGGAATTTGGTGCTCCATCCATCTTTGCCAGATTTATTTAGTACAATGCTGTAACAAAAAAGTGGGTGGGAGCAGACAGCAGAGCTCATTGTGCCTTCTCAGATAGACATCACTAAGTCTGCAAGCAACAAATGTGACAGCAATCTCTTATACCTACATGGAAATCTACAGTGCACAAAAAGCATCATATATAAACACAAACACATAGAAATATGTATACAATGAACACACGTGTTTATTATGTAAACATATATGTTACATAAACATTACATACAAACATGTAGATGTTTATTATATAGCTTTACATTGTATGTTTATATATACCTGTGTGTGTGTCCTCTTCATTTAATCTTCATAAAAACAATAAAACTCTGGAAACTAGTGATTCTTATTCCTCATAAGAAAAGAAGGCATCAAAGAAGTAAAGTGATTTGTCCAATGCCAGGGAGATAGTAAGGGGTAGGGCTGGGACAAGAACTTGGCTCCTCTGAGGTCAAGTCTGATGCACTTTGTATTGTAAAAGGGAGCCTGGGGCATTTAAAGAGGTTCAGCGATTTATCCAGGGACACATGGCTAGTTGAGAGCCAAACTCATACAGAACAGATTACTCTGAGGTGATAAAACTATTTTAGAGGGAAAGAATGTAATGATTGGTATGGTTTGGTTGATATTCCCCCACTCCATGCCACAGTCATTGTTTTGAAAACAGAAAGGAATACAAGCCTCAGAAGTCATTGGCAGAGGGAAAAGAAGAGAAAGTACCATTGCTCACTCATCTTCCCCCAATACTAGGAAAGTTTCTCTTGGTACTTTTTTTTTTGAGACAGAGTCTCATTCTGTTGCCCAGACTGGAATGCAGTGGCACAATCTTGGCTCACTGCAACCTCTGCCTCCTGGGTTAAAGCAATTCTTGCGCCTTAGCCTCTGAAGTAGCTGGCACTACAGATGTGTGCCACCACATATGGCTAATTTTTGTATTTTTAACAGAGATGGGATTTCACCATGTTGGTCAGGCTGGTCTCGAACTGCTGACCTCAGGTGATCCACCCAGCTCGGGCTCCCAAAGTGCTGGGATTACAGGCGTGAGCCACTGTACCCAGCCCCTCCAGGTACTTTTAACATTTCACAGATGAGGCTGAATAAATACAGGACCAAAGGTACAAGTGAAATTGAGCTTCCCCCATGACAATCTCAAAGCTTTTCCTTCCTCACTAGTATACAAAAAGGGTAGGAGGCATCAGCTACTGCAAAGGCAGGGAGTATGACAGAGTTGCCTCAGCCTAAACCGACGCTGGCAATCATAGCAGTTGTAACATGCACACATACACAATTTAACTACTAGCTGATGGCTAGAAAGATGAATTGTGTGCGTGGGGTGTGTGTGTGTGTGTGTGTGTGTGTGTGTGTGTGTGTGTGTGTGGAGAGAGGTGAGGATGGAAGGCTTTCATTTAATCTATGGGCCTTAATAGATAACCACATTCATAACTAATGTGCTATTTCTAGGACTGGACAAATTTAATTTTGTAGTTGCCAAGTTTCTTCCATTTTTAGGAAAAGTTCTAGCAGCCCTGTTTGGAGTTTCCAAATTTAAAGCTGAATCCAAGTTTTTACTCTATCTTTGCTATAAATGGAGCATTAATCGTTCTGACAGCCTAGGAGAAAATGTGTAAGCAGAAGACATCTAGTTCCCCACTTTAATGGGAACAATGTTACCCACAGAAACTAGTTGAGAGGCCATCTGAATATCACTGAATCTTGGCCGTCAGGTGAGATGAGCCTATAGAAGTGTTTCAGAGTCCTATATCTTGAAGTTGAAAAACTTCATTAGACAGAATTGCTAGTGGTAAAAATTGTCATGAAGAACTTCTATTTCTTGGATTTTCAGTTTCTTTGCTTGTATAACTGAAATGATCATATCTTCCTAATAGGATTGTTGAGAGGACTAATTAAAATTCTTTATGGTAAAAGCATTTTGCAGAGGCCCTTAAACATTATTTGTCCAATAAACTTAGCTATTTTCATTGTTATTAATATCATTGTTATGTGGCTCTTGTGAGGAAAAGATTGTAAAAGTTTAAATTCAAAGAAAAACAATGCCATGTGAGTTTCCAACGTGTAAAAAATAAAAGAAATTGCTTATATCGAGGATATGTGAGGGAATGATCATAAACTGATTGTAGGAAACTCAAAATACATGTTTTCTGTAATTCAACTCCCTTCACAGCAAAGAAGTTAATGTTTGCTCTAGACCAATGAAGAGATCGGGGTTTGTTGTAGATGTTATGCTTGAAGGAAAAGGACCAAGCCCTCTGGAGAAAACTTATTGGTGTTCTCTCTAAGCAGACCAACTAAAAGGTCCTACTCAGTGGCTTTGGGAAATGTGGCTACTGAAGACATGGTTTGAGAGTCACTGTGAGGATTTACCAGGCTCAGAAGTGATATCCCAGTGCGTTCTGTTCTGGGTTATAGTCCTGTGAAAACATAGCTGGAATAAGGGAAGGGTGGGCCAAAGGTGACTTGCCCAAAGTCACAACTAATAGGTCATGCAATCAGGAAGGAGTGTCAGGCACTCTGATTTGAGAACCACTTGGGCTCAACTGCCAAACTTGGGCAAGTGCCAAACTGCCACTTGGGCTTTTGAGACATGCTTTATAGTTTTGTCCTTTTTTTTTAATGGAAAAAAAAAAAAGAAAGCAGAGTTCTAATGTCATCTTAGAAAAGATTAGGGAAAACTAGTAATTATCCTACTGCAAATGTGGTGTGCCCTCATGATTCAGGAATTACTTTATAGAATGATTTTGCAAATAAGCGCTTGTTGGGTGCCTCTCTCAGCAGGCTATGTGAGAATCCCATCAGAAAGGTGCAGAGGACATGGCACCATTCTGAAGCTTGGTCTGTCTAGTTCAAAGAGTTTCCCAAGAAAAGATGGCTCTATTAAGAGTTTCAAACTATAAACACAGGTTTGATCTAATCCCCAAATGTGAAGTTAGGACACTCTGCCTAGCACTTTCAACAATAGTGGCAGGGCTGGCTGACAAAGAAATATTCTGTTGTTATTCATATTATTTTTTATAAAATCACTTTGCCAAAGTGAAGAGAATTTTGTTCCTCAAAAAAAAAAATTATAAAAAACACACCATCCTTGGTAGCTTACTTATGGTGGGAAGTAATTCTAGAATCATTATGCCTTCCCTGCAAGTTCCATTCTTCCTCCCCACAGAGGCAAAATCATTGATTTTTTTTAGCACAAAGTAGCTATGGAAAAATTTTCAATGATTTCCTGTCTTATATTCTGATGCATCAGAGCAAAAGAATGTACAAAATTGTATTGATTAAGATCAAGCATGAAGTATGCAGCAAAACTTTATCACCATTTTCAAAACTGACAAAATCAAAGCAGTTTGGTAAGTGAACTTAATTGAGTTCAGAAAACCTCAAGACATTTCCCCTCCTTAAAGTAACTGAAATTTTTATTCTTTGCCTTTCGTGCCAGGGAGGGCACAGGTTTGACAAGGATAAAATCGGTCATGTTGTACATTCTCCCTTTGGAGAGCAGCAAACAGAAGTGTCAGAGCACAACATGGTGGGAGCTGGGTGATTGTAACAACTCTTTGCATCCCCATGCCACACCTGTGAACTAGGCTACAGTCTAGGGTGTCTCAAAATTATGGAACATCAGGCAATGTGAATTGGACACACCTCTTTCCAGAGCCTGTGTAGGCATGCCATGCCAATATTTGGTGCATTTCTATGGCAAGGACAGCATCATCTTCAGGGAGTTACAATCCAGGGTGTGGCCTTTCCACAACACGTATGTGAGTGCAAACTGCCCACTACTGGGAAACTCCTGAGGGTCTCCCAATTCTGGCCTCTTATCTCTGACACCTCCTAAGCTAAAGGATACCCTTGAGTACATTTCTCTTGTTTCTACCATATGCCAACTAGTTGTAGCTGCTGTTTTTCTTCTTTTTTTTTTTTTTTTTTTTTGGCAAGTCTGCACTCTGCACCCATAAAAAGAACTTCATCTTCATCCCCTGAAATTTTATCTCTTCAAAAACAGAGCAATTTCTCTTTATAAATATTAGTGCTGCTTCTTGAAATATGATTACACTGGAAAAAGGAATCTCACATCACAACCCAAAGACCCTTGGGTTCTCCTGGACTCTCAAGAGCATTCTTATGAACTAATGGGTTTCAGTTTTTATAACAGTATTTCATTCAGCACTTAAATTCTCTATTGCCTTCACAGCCTGCATGGCTTTACAGTTTAATATCACACTTTCATACTTTCATAGCCCTTTGTCTCCAATCACTCAATTATTTATTTAACCCTGATACAATCCTCAGGAGTCAAGCTAGCATTGTCCTCATTTTCAAGGCAGAAAAATGGAGCAGTGAGTGTGTACGTGGATAAGAGTATTGTGTGTGTGACAGGAGAGGAGAATACACTGTTCCTTTTCACAGAATCAATCCACAATATGGCACTAGAATACATACCTTTTCTGAGTTAATCATTTACTGTGTCTCTCTGATGATAAATATATAGATTTACTGACCAATTAGCTGTGAAGCTATGAAAAAATAGAGGTTTAAAAAAATTATCACATCTGGCCACAAGCCTTAGAAACCAGAAATACATATAGTTCTATAAAGAATTTCTCTGTAGATAAACTTTTTTCTTCTAAACTTTTTCTATTCTCATTTTTTTAAAGAACATTGATGAGTAAAGAGCAAATTGACAATAAATTATTATAGGATTATATTGTTCCATCATTAATTCTCCTGTGGGTTAAGCTTAGTGGTATGTTTTTTTTTCTTGTCTACGTTTGGTTTTTTCTCTGAAATTATTAAACTTATTTTGCTTTGAAACTGCAGAAGGCAGAAAGAATAGAAGCTATCTCACATTTCAAAAAGTCACTTGGATTAATAGTTCAGTTAGACAACTTCCTCATCCTTCCTCTTATCCTCAAATCCAGACAAATTCTATTGTAGAAGATAAGTGTACTCTCCTCCTACAATCACTTTGACTTATAAACTTGATTTCCTTTTAATGTCTTTTAAATATCTTAGATAATAGTTATTATACATGGCATATAATTCAGCATATGTTTTAATGTTGCCTTTTCTTTTACCTTTGCTCTCATGATGGGCAGACATCAGTGGCTAATTGTGTAGGATCAGTTGAGTTATGTACAATATACCACAGAAGTAGCAAGGCTGTTCCCAAGGAAGTGAAATGACACCGGATGACAAAAACCTTCCAAACAATCCAAAGAGGGAATTTCTTTTTCAAATGTTACATCAAAAATTGATTAATTGGATTAGCAGATAAAAAGTACTCTTAAAGGAAATCTCATTTCAATTTCATAAAGAGGGTCACCTCTATTTTCACTATTCTATATCCCTATCACCTCTATTTTTATGATCCTATATCTCTGTCACCTCTATTTTCATTAGGAAGAGCAGAATCACAGGGAGAGACATGTTATAGAAGGGACCGTTTATGGAGGAAGTAGGTGCTAGAAGATGGCTGTACCTAAGGGCAAAGCTGCAGTTCATAAAAGACAGTGCTTACTTTTAATGAGGAAACAGAGATGGGATGAGAGAGGAACAAATGGAAAGTTGTAAAGTGCTGGCAATGCTCTAATCCTTGAGATGGGTGGTGGGTTCATGGATTAAAAGTATATATCATTGATTTGTTACACATATTTTTGTATTATCAAACATGAAATTTTGAATTATATCAGCAGCGTCACAACTCACAGAAATTAGAGCTTCGTCTTCTATGAAAGTTTTCTACCACTTTTTTTTATTTATTTATGTATTTATTTATTGAGACGAGTCTTGCTCTGTCACCCAGGCTGGAGTGCAGTGGTGAGATCTCGGCTCACTTCAACCTCCACCTCCTCGGTTCCAGTGATTCTCCTGCCTCAGCCTCCCCGGTAGCTGGGATTACAGGTGTTAGCCACTGTGCCCAGCCCACTTTTATTTTTTTAGCTAGGATTATGAGGTGGGAAATTCTAGGGAAAAAATAATCTAGGACAAGTTTAAAACTCCCTAGTCTCTCTCTGATTTACTAATAAAAAGCATCTTTCTGGCTGGGCGTGGTTGCTCACACTTATAATCTCAGCACTTTTGGGAGGCCGAGGCAGGCGGATCACCTGAGGCCAGGAGTTCAAGACCAGTCTGGCCAACATGGGGAAACCTTATCTCTACAAAAATACAAAAATTAGCCAGGCATGATGGCAGGTGCCTGTAATCCCAGCTACTTGGGAGGCTGTGGCGGGAGAATCGCTGGAACCCGGGAAGCGGAGGTTGCAGTGTGTTGGTATCATGCCATTGCATTCCAGTCTGGGTGACAGAGAGAGACTCTGTCTCAAAACAAAACAAAACAAAAAAGCATATTTCCAAACCAGTAGGGTAGACATTTCATCTGCTTCACCAAGGCCCTCTTGTGTAGACTCTTACCCCTTCCATTCCATTCTGTTATTACTTCTACTAGCCTGCCACAACGCTGACAATTTTGCACATTAGAAATTGTTTTTTGGAATTAGGGCATTTTTTTCCCTCTGTTGCATATCAGAGATTCTCATCTGTTACATGTAAGTGTGTTGAGAACCATAGTTTTTAACACTTCCACCTGAATTCATCTAGCACAGGCTTTCTAGGCAACTATCTGAAGACAAGAGTTCTTGGGAATAAAACTTGAGACTGGTAAGCTGTTTGATCCCCCTGCAGGCAAGAGGGGAATGGAAAGTTTATAAATAACCCCAAACTGAGGCACTATCCTGAAAGACAATCTTAAATTATGAAATGTAACAGAATTATTTAACTGTCAAGCCACTAAGAATTTTAGGATTTGTGGGGAGCAAGATATTCCCAAATAATGAAAACCCTAAAATTGATCCTCAGGACAGCTGGCGATTCCTGGGCTCAGGAACAAATGGATCCTGGCATTTTGAGAGGAGCATGAAGATACTAGGAGCAATCTTTTCTAGAGCAAAGCCTTTGGAGCTGACTCACCATGCTAGAGACCATCATTGCACTACCCAATACTCTTTCTTGGGCTAGCTGAGGCTTGGGAACAAAAGCTAGATTGAGGTACCCAAAAGCCAGGGTTGCGAATGTGAATGACCAAGAGTTAATTGTCAACTTTGAAGACAGAGCAAGAGAGAACTGTGTCACTATCCTAGATGGAGATCACTTTAGTGAGACCATCTGTATCAGTCAGGATCCCAGAAGGAAACAAATCCAATTCAGACGGCACAAGAAACCGAAAAAAAAAAATGTTCATAGACATACAGGCACCATTAAAAAACAGGGTGTTGAGACAACCAGAGACGGCCAAAGTAAGAACAAGATGCATAAATTGTGCTATGGAGGCTTATTGGAACTGGAATCTCCCTGATAGGAGCTGTAATAATGAAGGGATACAGCCACTGCTAGAAATTCAGCCCAAAGCAAGCACCCAACCTCAACCTCCCTCTTCTCTTGCCTGTCCACTTCCAATAGGGGCTTCCCTTTGGCTGAATTCAACCAACCAAAACCAAGGGAGCCTTGATGATGCAGACTTGGAAGGTTGGCCTCCTGGGGCCCAGAAGAGGGTGAATGAGGATACAGAACAGAACTTGGGTATAGGGGACAAGAGGTCAAATGGAGTATAACCAGCACATCATCTAAAATATCAAATCATCAGGGATGAAAAATATTAAGTGATCAGGGATGAATGGAGAACAAGAGATGACTCCAAAGCATTGGGTCAACAAATGATTAAATAGAGGAGGGCTGGGCCTAGAGAGAGACCACAAGAAACCATGCATGTCAGTGAGAAGGAAGAAGCTGGGGAGGGTGGGCATTTGACTACTGACCAAACTACATAATATCAACCATAATATCAACAGGGATATAGAGTCTTCACTCCAGCCTCACTGACTCTCCTCAAATTTTCTTTTTAAAATTCTTAAAGGGGTCCTATATACATGCTTTTGCTTCTTTGTGAATAACCCAACCCTCTCATTCTTCTTTCATACTCAGTTAAATCCCTCAAGGAAACACTGACCTCCCCATCGAGGTCATCTTCATGTTGTCACATGCTCTTATAGAACCATATACTCTGCCTTCACAGCACTTTTCACATTCACGATTTTATATTTAATTGTGGGTTGTGTGATTTCTCAATTAATGTTTGTTTTCTTCATGTGCAATGAACCATATTATAATAGAAATTCTGTTTATTTTTTCTTATCATTGCATTCCCAGTGGGTAATATACAGAAGGAACTCAACAGGTATTTTATGAGCAAATAATTTTTATTGGAAAATAAATGTCCTTAACTCATGGCAGTTGGATGGCTTAGAAAAGGGCTCGCTTTATAAATTAAGAAATAATATCTAGCCTTTCTATATTGTGCAGCAAGAAAATGTGACATTGCAGGTGTACAGTGTTAAAGAGAGTTTGCACTTGACACTTGCTAAAAATAGCAAGACATATTTTATTAGAGCTATATCAGTAAGGGAGAGAGACTAAGTATAGAACTCAGCTAAACTCCAAGTTAAATGGGCAAGGAAGACTTTATTTAAGACTGTTGCAATAGGGGAGAGAGATGGAAATTAGCACCATTAAAACAAAGGGCTCAGTTTTTAAGCACTGGGGTGAGCTACTGGAAAACTACTGGAGGAAGTTAGGAAGGAGTTTATTCAAGGTCATTAAGTCATCACTGTTTGCTAACTAGAGCTTAATGAAGTTAGGCTTCTACCATCCCAGACATTGAGAGATACAAGTGCTATCTTTCTTGATGATGACATTTCACTTCACACAGGTGGCTCCAACTCCTTGAGAAAGACATTTCTGGGTTGAAGATTTACATCTCAAAGGGGCAGAGAAAGGATTTAAAAATTCAAGTTCTCTAAAGTAAATGATCTAAGAAAAGGGAGGTCAGGAGCCTATGGTAAGGAAGAAATCTGTCTAAAGTTTAGTCAAGCTGAAGGGAACATTAATACTACTATGTTTAACCATGTTTTATCACTTTTACAGATTTTAACCAGTATAACCTGAGCAGAAAAATTCTCAGAACCAGTGTATTTTCTAATTCAGCATGAGAAGCACCTGGTATGAGTGAGTGGGAGCAAAATATTATATGATAATAGCAAAAAGCCTCTTAAAGAAAGAAAATAATCTGCCTCTGTGGTTTCCAATTACATCCTCTCAGCTATTGCCCTGAAAATAGAATCATCCTTGGTAATTATGGAAGAGGTATCTTGGAAGAAAGAGGTATTTACACTAAATGCCAAGTCAGCAAGCAATGGCACAGGAAAATAATTCCACCCCCTTGTGCTGACTTCCACCGCAGAGTCTGACATGTTGACTACACACCTCCCCAGCCTGGGAATCCCAGTGACTGTTGGGGGTCAGCAGCAAGCTGACAATTCACTGCAGACAAAAAAAAAAAAAAAAAAAAAAAAAACAGAAAGAAAACATCAAATCAGGTTATAAAACAGAGAAAGCTCTCAAGGAACTAAGTACAGCTAACAATGTAGGTCATCAGTTTCTCAGACTCTTGTACAATAACTGTTGCAGTTAGTTTTCTCTAAAATATAACCAATGTAATAAAAAGCATATTTGGAATTGGCATGGAGAAGCAAAATTGCTGCAAATAGGTATATTGAGGCCATAGACTACATTGGCACTCCAGCTCAGCTTTATGTTGACTCAGACATGGAGACTTTAAGTGGAGATATATCCCTCAGATGCAACATTGCCCCACCCCAGACAGGTGACCTTCATGCCCTCAGCTCCATCCCTTCTGCAGTTTCAGCTGTTTGCAGAATTCCTGCTTTCCACTTGGAGAAAGCAAGTCTGTTCATTAGTCTTGGTATTCTGAGCTTCTGTTTATTTAAGCTAATTGGCTTCCTGCCTCTGGTGAGAAAAGGACACAAGATCCAGGCTTATTCCTCTCTTCTTCCCTCTCCTTTTTTAGGAAAATGGACATCTGATTTCTGTTCTTTTCTTCCTCTATTTTTCACAGAGCTGTAGAGATTGACATGCTGACGATTCAGCAATTTTGCTGTTGGGGAAAATTTAATGAAGGGGGGAGGGAGACGATATTATTTATTAAGGGGACTTTATCTTTAGTAAAATTGAGAGTTTGTGACGCAGAATTTGTTTCATTGCTTAAATGATCACCAGCCCCAAAGTGGAGCTGGCGTCTCCTGAACTTCTGTGTCTCCCTCACCTCCCTTTGTGGCTTTGCTTCCCACCGTTTCTTCCTACAACAGACAATGTGTTTTCTCCCTGTCTCTCTGCCTTCGCTCCATTCCTCCAGCTCTGGATGAAGCCCATTAACTCCTTTGGCTCTTAGGTCGTTCCGCAAGTTAATGATTGAGCTGCAGGAACTCTGGTTGCCTCATACTTCACCTGCACTGACACAGTGGGCATGCGTGGGGCATGCCTTAGCACACGATTCATCCTGCAATTTCAAAATAGACAGTTCATCTTTATGCTTTAGAATTTCCAAAAATTTTAAAGAGATTGCATCAGCATCTCCTAAAATCTCTTTTGTTTCACTGACAGCTTTAAAAGATCATCTTCTCAGGCTGCAAAATTACAGATGTCATTTTTAATGATCGATGTTATTTGTCATTCCAGAGGATAGTCTCTGGTGAGAATTACAAAGATGCCTTTATGAGGCAGGCCCAGGAGCCCAGAGTAAATCAGTGGATGGTTTTATGGCGACCCAAGTGACATAGCTGAAGTAATCGCGTGGAAACTGACACCAGACTCTAAATAACACTCCCTTCCACATTTCCTCTGACCCACAGCTCATTTGTTCGAGTTGCCTCTAACTGAATATGCCTTCAGTCTAGAGCATGTGAGAACACTCAGTGAATCATTATCTGATGGGCAATGGCCTTCAGCCTCTGCTACAACACTAGTCAGCTCTGTGACTTACTCCATGTCAATTAACCTCTCTGAGCCTCCATTTCCACAACTATAAAGAGTTCTTTGGCACAAACTCTGAGTCACAGTTCACCCTCCCCACCCACTGTGTTATGTCATCTATGCCCTTGTGAATATGAGTCCCAATGCAGGTATTATATGGGAGCTTATATTACTACCATAACAAATTGCCACAAACTTGGTGGTTTGAAACAACACCATTTATTATCTCATAATTTCTACAGGTCAGAAGTGTAAGTACAGTGTGGTTTGGTTCTCAGTTTAGCATCTCACAGGCCTAAAATCAAGGTGTTAGACAAGCTAGGCTTTTATCTAGAGTCTTTGGGGGAATAACCCACTTCCAGACTCATTTAGATTATTGGCCGAATTCTGTTCCTTGGAGTTGTAAAGTTGAGGTCTCCAGTTCCTTTCTTGCTGTCACACCCTGAGGAATGTTTTCCATTCCTCAGGGCCACTTGCATTTCTAAGCACATGGCCCCCTCCACCTACAAAGCCAGAAATGGTACATCGAATCTCCTTTGTGCTTCAAATCTCTGACTTCCTCTTCTACGCTAGCCAAATAAAATATTCTGCTTTATAAGGGTTTATGTGATTAGATTATGCCCAAACAATAATCCAGGATAATCTCCCTATTTTACCATCAAACAATTAGCAACATTAATTACATATCCCAAATCCTTTTCTTCTGGTAACATTGTATTTGAATGGGTGTGATATCATATTCACAGACATAGGAATTAAGGCATAAAATCTTGAGGGAGGAAGTGCATTTTAAAAATCGTGCCTAAGACAAGTATCTGGACCCAAACATTGAGAAGAATTTTGGCCTCTATACACTATTATGTTAGTGTATAGTATATAGAGTCTATAACATAACTAACATAATAGTGTATAGAGGCCAAAATTCTTCTCCTGTGCTCCCTAAATGGATTTGGGTCCTCATGTAAATAAGACTTTGGAATTTACAGTGTGACTCTGGACCATAATTATGTAAGAATAAAAGACGCTTAGGCTAATATCGAGGCAGCATTGACTGCCTGTTAAGTTTAAAAAAAAAAAAACTCTTAAAAAAGAGAGAGACTATTGGACACTTTGAGACCTATACCCATGCCTGTCAAGGTGACAGATTGGAATACCCAAGAGAGCAGATGCCCCTCAAGAAGACCAGAATCTCCACCAACTCTGTAACTCCACAAGACAGATCCAGAGACATCATTAAAACCACTCCACAAGACACGCTCTGAGGCAGGAAAAAATGCAGAAGAAAGGATGTGGGATTACATTTTCAAGACTGCAACTTTACGGGAATTTAAAGAAGCCAGTCAATTTGATAAATAAGTGGAAATAGTGACAATTCTGGAATATGGTAAATAGTATAGTACCAGCACATCCCTGTAGCACTGACAGCACATAAGCTGCACAAGAAAGATACTGAAGATGGAGAAGACTCGAACACTATCTACCTATATAAAAATAGGAGGTAATTCAGCTTCAGAAAATAAATATATGGATGTAAGAGATAAATAGTGAATAATGTATCTAATAAAATAACAGTTAAACATATGTGATGTTTATAAACATCAAGTTGATAAAAGCCTTTTTAAGATTAAAAGCAGAGGAATTCAGAAATGAAGACTGATATATTTTGCTATATATATTTTGAAGCTTCTATACAGCTAGAAACTACCATAAGAAAAAGTAAAATGTAACGATGATTTTCAAAAAATAAAATATATGTATTTTTTATAAGATAGATGACAAACAGTGGCTCATAAGTCTCACATATAAAGCTCATCTAGACCAATTATTAATATAACAATGGGAAAATAATCAAAGGAATCAGACTAGCAAAACCCAAAGAAAGAAATACAAATGACTGATAATTGTATGCAAAAAACTATCCCATGGGTAACCAAAGTAAAAATACATAACCAATAAAATACCATTCACTGACTGAAAAATTGGTGATGAAATAAAATGTATATACAGCTACCAGTGTTAACAAAAGTATGAGGAAGCAAATGCTCTTATGTGATGCTACAGAAAATGTGTGTTGACTCAACCTTCTAATAAAACACTTTTGGAATACAACCTGAAATGTATATATACCCTTTATTCCTAAACATTCATTTTTAGAAATATAGGAAAATAATCAACAATGTGCACAAATGTTTATCTGCAAGAGTCTCCACTTAAGCATTAGTCATTAGAGTGAAAAGTTTGGAAGAAACTAAATGTCTGACAATAGGGAACTGGTTATATAAATTGTGTGCTCATATAATATAGTCATGAAAAATCATGCTCTAGAAGAATATTAAATGGTATTGAAATGGTCGGGTTCACAGAAGCAAAATAAGCAGCATGCAGAAAAATGTATTCACACGTGATACAGTTTTGCAAAGAAAAATACATTCATGTGTAATATTAGTGTTTCATATGGAAAATAAATTAGAAAGGTAACAATGATAATTTTATTTCTATATTAGGAGTTGAGATTATGGAATATTTGGGGGCTTTGTGCAATTTGCACGTTTTCTACAATGAACATTAGTATCAAAATAAAAATTAATTTTTAAAAATAAATGCCCAGAATGGTGTAAACCTGGGAGTCTCAATATAATCAGAAATGAAGAAAACCCACTGCACAGAGAAGAAGATGTAAATTCTGACTTGTGAAGGTTTGTTCCTGGGCATTTGGCCAAAGGCAATGGGTACATTTACAGTGTCCAAAAGGAAGTGGCAGTGACCTACTAACTACTGGGCTGACTAGCCACATAGGAGTTTTTTTCCATGCCATTTTATGGAAATCCTACCTACTTCACTAGTTTTCCCTGTCCAACTTCTCTCTTCAGAAAATTGTGCTGCTCCTAAATCCTCTTCTCCGCTTGTAACTTACTAGAATAATTAAAGATAGTAATTTGAGGCACTCAGAAGGTAGAGATATCATGAATTCAAGTCATTCATACTTATAAACTTGATCATGATCTGAAAACAACGTATCTGGTGCACAGCTGGAACACGAGGTTGAGAATGTCTCATTCTATATAATTGCCTTTACGATAAGGAGTTTTGACACCCACCTGGGCCCCATGTTTTTCTGACTTTCAGCTAACATTGCCTGAAAACAATGTAATCGAACCGCAGTTTTGACAGATCTAGCTACCTTCTGAGAGTCAGTTTGAATAACATAGGCAAAAAAATCTCACTAAAAATGTTAATAATATTAATAGTAATAGTAATAATAACAATAATAATTAGCTTCTATTGAAAACCTGTATGTCCAGGAACTGTGCTCAGCTCTTCATTGGTATAATATAATTTAACTCTCCTAAAAGTTAAATTACAACTTACCCTCCCTATAGGTTAAATACTATTATTGTCTACATTTCAGAAATGCAGAAACTAAGTTCTAAAAAGTTCATGTCCAACATTGCCAGTCCTCTTAAATGGGAATCTTATAGCTAAACATTAAATGTCTCGTTTTGTTTTATTCTGTTTTGAACATTTTCTACTACCCAGCTCAAAAGCTAGGCTCCTGACTTGTGCATCCTTGCCTGCCTTTTGACACTGCCATCCCCAATTCTAGCTTATGGGATTAAATGAAGTGACATCAGGCATTTACACCCAGTGGATCTGGCTTGTCACCCGTACATACTCAGCAGTGGTAGTCTCACATGATATCTTCTCAGAAACTCAGGCATCCCAACATGGGCTCATTCTGAAGTCCACTCCCATCTTTCTCCTCTTCCTGTCTCCCTGGATATTTGCTGTCCTCACAGCTACTAGAAGGTGGAGATTTGTCCCTGCAGCTGTCACTGCTGCCCAGGCCCTCTGTGGAATCACTGCTCTGCCCACAGGCTCTTGGTGCTCCCCAAGTTGGAAGACCCACCACGTGTCAAAACGTGCTGTCTTTACTTCAAGCCTCAAGGCGATTTGAATCACGCCATGTTCTGGACAAATGTGGAATAAAATGTTCTTTTGCTAGGGCTCAGACTAGACTTCAGGACTTCCTGGACTGGAAGGAGGCAGTAGTTCACAGTTCCTTCCATTCTCCCAGGCACAACACTTTTGCTAGCCTGGCCCCTTGCTGGACACCTGCCAAGCAAATCAGCACCTGCTGAGTAGCCTGAGCCAGGCTAGAGCTCCAGTACATTGCATACAGCCAGACTGACTAAGCCTCAGTTTGTGACAACAAGGACTTTAGTCACCAAAAATTAAAATACCTATCTCTTTACAGATAAAGGCTCACCATTGTGTAGATAAAAGATATCTGAAGGAAAGAAACACAGTTCAAGTATCAAATTCTTGCTACCAATGAAAAGCAAAGTCCATATGAGACCTAATTTACCTCATCAATGCCACCTGATTCCATTGTGGACCTTTTTCATTTTAGCAGCTACATCACTTTTTATTCAATTTACCTTCAATGACATTTATTTTATATTCAAGGTGTTAAGAAAAAAGTAAAAGGACTCTGTGGGAAAGGTATTATCTAAATGTTACACATTCATTGATTTGACTCTTCTAAGCAGTAGTGACATTGCTAAAGGTACTATAATAGCATTTTAATTATTAAAATATTTTCCCTAATGCTTTGTCCACTTTTATAACTGAAGAGCAGATGCAATGTTTACGTTAAAGAACAATCTTATGCCTTTAATTCAGAATCCACTTAATTGGTGAGTTAAGGATTTCATATCCTTCTAAGAGCATTTGGAATTTTAATAAAAATTAAGAAAACCAAAATCTTGGAACCTACAGAATATTGATCTAGCTTGGGGGTAGGAAACTATAACACACAGACCAAATTGGGCCCACTCCCTGTTCCTGTTTTTGTACAGCTCACGAGCTAAGATAATTTTTACTTTTTTAAATAGTTGAAAAATGAATAAAAAGAATATTGCCTAATGCATTAAAATTCACATAAAATTCAAATTCTAATGTCAATAAAGTTTTATTGGAACACAGAAAGTCTTATTTATTTATGTAGTAACTATGGAAGCAGAGAGTTGAGAAGTGACAGAAACCATATGTAAACTATTTATTTATATAGTAAGTATGAAAACAGCAAAGTTGAGAAGTGACAGAAACCATATAGCCCAAAAAGCCTGAAATATTTATTATCTGGCTCTTTACAGAAAAGTTTGTCAATCTGATTGATTATAATATTTGTAATTTCACAAATTTGAAAGATAATATCCACATTTGTATCTTCTGTTTCTTTGTAATTTGACACAAAGAAACACAAAATACAAACATGTGGATAAATTGTCTTTCAAAATATTTCTGAAAATGAAGTGAAAAAAAATCTCTCTCTCCCTCCACATATACATATATATATGTGGGTGTGTGTGTGTGTGTGTGTGTGTGTATACATATATATTTACACATATATAATAAAACTACATTCTCACAGATAACTATTAGGTTCTAAATTTTTAGAAAACTTTGGCACACAGAAATCAAGGGAAAATACAGAACAATATTGGAAAGAACATGAACTTTGGATTCTGACAAAAACTGGGAAAACAACTTAGCTTTTATGCTTACTAGCTGTGCAACTTTAAACACACTGCTTAACCTCTCTGAGTCCGATATCTCAACTGAGAAATGGAAATGGAAATACCCACCTCACGAAAGTCAGAGGAAGGATTAGAAATAACATAAGTATCCATTCATCTGTTGATAGAAATTTAGACTGATTCCATACCTTGGCTATTATAGATACTGAATGCATAAAGAAAATATGGTGTACACCCAGTGGAATACTATTCAGCCATAAACAAGCATGAAATCCTGTCATTCACAATGATATTCATGAGCATGGAGGATATTATGTTAAGTAAAATGAGTCAGGCACAGAAAGATAAACACCACATGTTCTTACTCATGAATAGGAACTAAAAATGTTGAACCCATAGAAATAAAGAGTAGAATTGTGGTTACTATAGTACGTGAAGGTCAGGGAGTAGTGAGAGGTTGGCTAATAAATACAGAATTACAGCTATATAGGAGGAACAAGTTCTAGTGTTTTATAGCATGGTAGGGTGATTATAGTCAACAACATTTACTATATATTTTCACATAGCTAAAGGAGCATTTTGAATGTAATTAGCACAAATAAATGATCAATATTTGAGGTAATGGACATGCTAATTACTTCAATTCGATCACTACGCATTGTATGTATGCATTTAAACATTGCTCTTTACCCTGTAAATATGTACAATTATTACATGTCAATTAAAAATAAAAGATAAAGAAATGATATAAATAAAGTGCCCTGCTTCCATATTTAGAATCTATAAGCCTTTCAAATGAATAATATATACGATGCCATGGTTTTGGTCAATCCTTCCTAGCAACATTTGTTCCTGACAGAGGTCTTTAAAAGAAAGCTCAAATTAAAAGATTAAGCTTCTGAGTCGGCTACTTGCGAAAACTCAAATTTTTTTATCACCACCACCCACCTACATCTACAGGTATATATTTTTCTTGGAGCAATTATCTTTAAGAATATAGGAGACAGGCATGATGGCTCACCCCTGTAATCCCATCACTTTGGGAGTCCAAAGCAGGAGGATCACTTGTGCCCAGGAGTTTGAGACCAGCCTGGGCAATATGGCAAGACCCTATCCCTACTAATAATAATTTAAAAAGTAGCCAGGTGTGGTGGCATGTACCTGTAGTCCCAGCTACTCAGGAGGCTGAGGTGAGAGGATCACCTGCACCCAGGAGGTTAAGGCTGAACCACTGCATTCCAGCCTGGGCGACAGAATGAGACCCTGTCTCAAAATAAATAAATAAATAAAAATAAAAATAATATATAATAGAAGGAAAACATTCAAGGATCTGGGGAACTAAAGAAAAAAATCAAAGTAAAGAACGATATTACCAATAAAAAGAAATTTTCCAGACAGAGGCAGAGCAAGATGACTGAATGCAAGCCTCCAGTGATCGTCCCCCAGGCAGGAACACCAAATTATCCACACAAAAAGGCACCTATATGAGAACCAAAAATCAGGTGAGCAATCATAGTACCGGGTTTTAACATCATATTAAAGAAGGAGGCAAAGAACAGAGTAGGAAAGACAGCCTTGAATCGCCAGCACCACCCCTCTCCCATCCCCTGGCAGTGGCTGTGTGTCATGGAGAATCTATGTGTTTGTGGGAGGTAGAGCACAGTGATTGTGGGACTTTGTTTTGGAATTCAGTGCTGCCCTGTCACAGCACAAAGCAACATGTGACAGAACTCAGCCAACCCCTACCGAGAAAGCATTTAGACCAGCCCTAGCCAGAGGTAAATAATCAATCCCAGCCATCAGAATCTGAGTTCCAGCAAGGCCTGCACCATGGGCTACAGTCCTAAATAAATGTGAAAGGTAGTTTCCTGTAGTAGTCTAGACTACAAGAACTGCAATTCCTGTGCAAGTCCTGGTACTGTGCTGAGCTCGGGGCCAGTGGAAATGAGGTGCATGAGACCTAGTGAGATTCCAGCCTGGGCAGCCAAGGGAATGCTTATGTCACCCACTCCCCCAACCCCAGGAAGCGGAGCTTGCAGCTCCAAGAGAGACACCTTCCTTCTACTTGAGGAAAGAAGTGGGGACCAAGACACAGATGAACATCCACAAGCGTCAAGACCATTCAGGAAAATATGACCTCACCAAACAAACTAAATAAGACACCAATGACCAATCCTAGAGAGACAGAGATATGTGACCTTTCAGAGAGATAATTAAAAATAGCTGTTTTGAGGAAGTTCAAAGAAGGAAGTAAAGAAGGCTTTGTCTGGCCACTTGGATACCAGTTCAACCACAGGAGAATAGGGCACCAGGCAGAATCCCTATTCCAGGCTCCAGCTCCTGTATGACATTTCTAGACATATTCTGGGCCAGAAGGTCACCCACTGCCTTGAAGGAAAGGATATAGTCCTGACAGGATTCATCAGCTGCTTACTAAAGAATCTTTGGGCCGTGAATAATCAACAGGGGTAGACAAGCACTACTTGCCACAGGCCTTGGGTGAGATTCAGAGCTGTGCTGGCTTCAGATGTGACCCAGCACATTCCTAGCTGTGTTGGTTATGAGGAGAGAATTCTTCTGCTTGAGAAAAAGAGAGGGAAAAGTAAAGGGGATTTTGTCTTGCAGCTTGAGTACGAGCTAGGTCACAGTGAAGTAGAGCAACAAGTAGGCTCCTGGGGTCCCTGATTCCAGGCCATGGCCCTGAGATAGCATTTCTGGACTTTCCCTGAGCCAAAAGAGAGCCCACTGCCCTGTAGGGAGAGATCTATGCCTAAAAGTATTTCAGTTAACTGAAGAGCCTTTGTGCCTTGAGTGAACACTGCTGGTAGCAAGGCAGTACTGGCCACAGGCCTGGGACATTGGTGACCATGGGGAGAGACTGCTGCTTGAGGAGAGGAGAAGAAAGAGTGAGAAGGACTTTGCCTTGCAGCAAGGGTGCCAGCTCAGCCACAGTAGAATAGAGCACCAGGTAGATTCCTAAGGATCCTGACTCTAGGTCCTGGCTCCCAGATAATATCTATGGACCTACCTGGGCCAGAGGGAACATGTTATCCTGAAGGAAAAGACAGAAGCCTGGCTGGATTCACCACCTGCTGATCATAGAACCCTTGGGCCTTGACTGAAGATAGGTACTAGCCAGACAGTGGCCATCACAGGCCTTAGGCAAGACCCAGTGCTATGCTGACTTCAGGTCTGCCAGCTAAACTAGATAATTCTTCTATATCTTATCCAGGACCACCAAGGCAGTACCTCAATGCATCTGTAATAGCCACAGCATTACGAGGTTTGGAGTGCCCCCTAACGCATACATAGCTGCAGAGACCAAAAACTTAGATTGTAACACCAAAGTCCCTTCAAATACCAGGAAAGCCTTCCCAAGACAGATGAGTACAAACAAGCCCTGACGGTGAAGACTACAATAAATACTTAACTTTTCAATGCCAAGACACAGATGAACATCCACAAGTATCAAGATCATTCAGGAAAACATGAACTCACCAAACAAACTAAAGAAGACACCAATTACCAATCCTAGAGAGACAGAGATATGTGAACTTTCAGAAAGATAATTCAAAATAGCTGTTTTGATGAAGTTCAGTGAAATCCAGGATAACACAGAGAAGGAATTCCGAATTCTATCAGATAAATTTAACACAGAGAGATAATTTAAAAGAATCAAGTAGAAATTCTGGAGTTAAAAAATGCAATTAGCATAGTGAAATGATATGCTTTGGATTTGTGTCCCCACCCAAATCTCATGTTGAATTGTAATGTCCAATGTTAGAGGAGGGGCTTGGTGGGAGGTGATAGGATCATGGGGGTGGATTTCCCTTTTGCTATTCTTGTGACAGTGAGTGAGTTCTCATGAGATCTCATTGTTTAAAAGTGTTTAGCACCTCCCCCTTCACCCTCTTCCTCCTTCTCTAGCCATACAAGCTGTGCCCAATTCTCCTTCACCTTCAGCCAGGATTGTAAGTTTCCTGAGGCCTCTCCAGCCACGCATTGTGTACAGCCTGTGGAACTTTGAGTCTATTAAACCTCTTTTCTTTAGAAACAAACCAGTCTCTGGTAGTTCTTTACGGCAATGCAAGACTGAACTAATACTTGAAGAATGCACCAGAGTATCTTAATGCAGAATTAAGCAAGCAGAAGAAGGATTTCGTGAGCTTGAAAACAGGTTATTTGAAAATATACAGTCAGAGGATACAAAAGAAAAAAGAATTTTTTAAAAATAAAGCACACCTACAAGATCTAGCAAATAGTTAGAAAACAGCAAATCCAAGAGTTATTGGGCTTAAAGAGGGTGTAGAGAGAGACATCAGAGTAAAAAGTTTATTTGAAGGGATAATAACAGAGAACTTCCCAAACCTAGAGAAAGATTGCAATATATAAGTACAACACGGTTATAAATGCCAAACCGATTGAACCCAAATAAGACTACTTCAAGACATTTAACAATCAAATTCCCAAACAGCAAGAATAAAGAAAGGATCCTAAAAGCAGCAATAGAAAAGAAACAAATAACATACAAAGGAGGTCCAATAATCTGGCAGCAGACTTATTAGTGTAAATTAGAATGCTGATAGGAAAAAATAATTTTATCCTAGAATAGTATATCCAGCAAAAATATCCTTCAAATATGAAGGAGAAATATTTCCCAAACAAATGAAAGCTGAGAATTTCTTCAACACCAGGCCTGTTCTGGAAAAGGACACTAATGAGCAATAAGAAATCCATCTGAAGGTACAAAACTCATGGGTAATAGTAAGTAGACAGAAAAACACAGAATATTATAATATTATAATTTTGGTAAGTAAACTACTCATATCTTGAGTAGAAAGACTAACAGATGGACCTGTCAAAAATAAGTACAACAACATTTCAAGATATAGTATGATATGGTATAATAAGATAAAATTGAAACAATAAAATGTTAAAAAGTGAAGGCATGAAGTTAAAGTGTAGAGGTTTTGTTTGCTTTATCTTTGCCTGCTTGTTTGTTTGTCTACGCAATAAGTGTTAACTTGTTATTAGCTTAAAATAATAAAATATAAAATTACTTGCAACTGTCATGGTAACCTAAAATCAAAAAAACACACAACAGATACACATACAAAACTAAAATTCAATAAATTAAAACACACCACCGGAGAAAATCATCTTCACTAAATGGAAGACAGGAAGGAAGAAAAGAAGGAGGAGGAGACCACAAAAGAACCAGAAAAAAATAACGTGGTAGAAGTAAGTTCTTACTTATTAATAATAACATTGAATATGTAAATGGACTAAACTCTCCAATTGAAAGACATAGAGTGATGGAAATGATTAAAAAAAAAAAAAAGACCCAATCATCTGTTGTCTACGAGAACACATTTCACCTACAAAGACACACATGGACTGAAAATAAAGGGATGGAAAAAAGATATTCCATCCAAATGGAAACTGAAAAGAGCTGGAGTAGCTATACTTACATCACACAAAATAGAGTTCAAGGAAAAAGTATAAAAAGAGACAAATAAGGTTATTATATAATGATAAAGGGATCAATTAATCAAAAGAATATAACAATTGTAAATACATTTGCACCCAACACTGGAGCACACAGTTATATAAAGCAAACATTATTAGAGCTAAAGACAGAGATGGACCCCAAGACAATAATAGCTGGAGACTTCAACTCCCCACTTTAAGGACTGGACAGATCTTCTAGACAGAAATTCAACAAAGAAACATGAGACTTCATCTGCATTGTAGACTAAATGGAACTAATAGACTTTTATACAACATTTCATCCAATGGCTGCAGAATGCACATTCTCCTAAGTAGATGGATCATTATCAAGGATAGACATATGTTAGACCACAAAACAAGTCTTTAAACATTAAAAATTGCATTAATCTCAAGTACCTTCTCTGACCACATGGAATAACATTAGTGATCAATAACAAGAGGAATTTTGGAAACTATACAAACACATGGAAATTAAAGAATATGATCCTGAATGACCAGTGGGTCAATGAAGAAACTAAGAAGGAAATCTTAAAATTTCTTGAAACAATGAAAATGGAAACACAACATACCACAGCCTTTGGGATACAATGAAAGCAGTACTAAGACGATAGTTTACACCTATAAACACCTACATTGAAAAAGTAGAGCTAATATCCAGAATCTACAATGAACTCAAACAAATTTACAAGAAAAAGCAAACAACCCCATCAAAAAGTGGGTGAAGGACATGAACAGACACTTCTCAAAAGAAGACATTTATGCAGCCAAAAAACACAGGAAAAAATGCTCACCATCACTGGCCATCAGAGAAATGCAAATCAAAACCACAATGAGATACCATCTCACACCAGTTAGAATGGCAATCATTAAAAAGTCAGGAAACAACAGGTGCTGGAGAGGATGTGGAGAAATAGGAACACTTTTACACTGTTGGTGGGACTGTAAACTAGTTCAACCATTGTGGAAGTCAGTGTGGCGATTCCTCAGGGATCTAGAACTGGAAATAACATTTGACCCAGCCATCCCATTACTGGGTATATACCCAAAGGACTATAAATCATGCTGCTATAAAGACACATGCACACGTATGTTTATTGCAGCACTATTCACAATAGCAAAGACTTGGAACCAACCTAAATGTCCAACAATAATAGACTGGATTAAGAAAATGTGGCACATATACACCATGGAATACTATGCAGCCATAAAAAATGATGAGTTCATGTCCTTTGTAGGGACATGGATGAAACTGGAAATCATCATTCTCAGTAAACTATCGCAAGAACAAAAAACCAAACACTGCATATTCTCACTCATAGGTGGGAATTGAACAATGAGATCACATGGACACAGGAAGGGGAATATCACACTCTGGGGACTGTTGTGGGGTGGGGGGAGGGGGGAGGGATAGCATTGGGAGATATATCTAATGCTAGATGACGAGTTAGTGGGTGCAGTGCACCAGCATGGCACATGTATACATATGTAACTAACCTGCACAATGTGCACATGTACCCTAAAACTTAAAGTATAATAAAGAAAAAAAAGAAAAAGTAGAAAGGCCCCAAATAAACAACCTAATGATTCATCTCAAAGAAGTAGAAAAGCAAGAGCAAATCATACCCAAAATTAGTAGAAGAAAGAAATAATAAAGATCAGAGCAAAAACTAATAAAATTGAAACAAAAAACAATGGAAAATATCAATAAAAAGAAAATATAAACAAAATCCAACAAGCTTTTAGCCAGACAACCTAAGAGAAAAAAAGTGAGAAGACCCAAATAAACAAAATCAGAGATGTAAAAAAAGACATTATACCTGATATCACAGAAATTCAAAGGATAATTAGAGGCTACTATGAGCAACTATATGCCAAAAAATTGGAAAACCTAGAAAAAAATGGATAAATTCCTACACACATATAACCTACCAAGATTGAACCATGATGGCTGGGTGCGGTGGCTCAGGCTGGGTATGGTGGCTCATGCCTGTAATCCCAGCACTTTGGGAGGCCGAGACGGGCGGATCACAAGATCAGGAGATCTAGACCATCCTGACTAACACAGTGAAACCCCGTCTCTGCCAAAAATACAAAAAATTAGCCAGGCGTGGTGGTGGGCACCTGTAGTCCCAGCTACTCAGGAGCCTGAGGCAGGAGAATGGCGTGAAACCAGAAGGCAGAGCTTGCAGTGAGCCAAGATCGTGCCACTACACTCCAGCCTGGGGTGACACAGCGAGACCCCATCTCAAAAAAAAAAAAAAAAAAAAAAAAAAAAAGATTGAACCATGACGAAATCCAAAACCTGAACAGATCAATAACAAGTAATGAGATCAAAGCTGTAATAGAAGGTTTTCCAGCAAAGAAAAGCCTGGGACCCAGTGCAATTCACTGCTGAATGCTACCAAACACTTAAAGAACTAATACCAATCCTGCTTGAACTATCCCAAAAAATAGACAATGAGGGAATTCTTCCATATTCATTCTACAAAGTCAGTATTACCCCGATACCAAAACCAGATAAAGACACATTAAAAAAAAAAAACTACAAGTCAGTGTCTCTATAAACATTGATGCAAAAATTCTTTTAAAAAAATTAGCAAACTGAATTCAACAATACATTAAAAAGGTCAGTCAATAAGATGAAGCAGAATTTATCCTAGGGATGGAAGGATGATTTAACATACACAAATCTGCCCGGTGCAGTGGCTCACACCTGTAATCCCAGCACTTTGGGAGGCTGAGGCAGGTGGATCACCTGAGGCCAGGAGTTCAAAACCAGCCTGGCTGACGTGGTGAATCCCTGCCTCTACTAAAAATACAAAAATTAGCCGAGTGTGGTGGCAGGCACCTGTAATCCCAGATACTCAGGAGGCTGAGGCAGGAGAATCACTTGAACCCGGGAGGTGGAGGTTGCAGTGAGCTGAGACTGTACCATTGCACTCCAGCCTGAGCAACAAGAGTGAAACTCCATCTAAAAACTAAAAAATAAATAAATAAAATAAAAAACACACAAATCAATCAATGTGATACATCATATCAACAGAATGAAAAACAAAAACCATAAAATCATTTCAATTGATGCTGAAAAAGCATTTGATAAAACTCAACATACCTTTATGATAAAAAAAAAACACTAAAAAAACTGGGTAGAGAAGCAACGTACCTCAGCACAACAAGAGCCGTATATTACAGACCCACAGCTAGTATCATACTAAGTGGGGAAAAACTAAAAGCCTTTCCTCTAAGATCTGGAACAAGAATACCCATGTACACCACTGTTATTCAACATAGTACTGGAAGTCCTAGCTACAGCAATCAGACAAGAGAAACAAATAAAGGACATCAAAATTGGAAAGGAAGAAGTCAAATTTTTCCTGTTTGCAGATGATATGATCTTATATTTGGAAAAACCACCAAAAAACTATGTAGACTGATAAACAATTCTGTAAAGTTGCAAGATACAAAATCAGCATAAAAAATCAGTAGCATTTCTGTATGACAACAATAAACAATGTGAAAAAGAAATTAAAAAGTAATCCCATTTACAATAGCCACACGTAAAGTTAAATATCTAGGAATTAACTTCACCAAAGAAGTGAAAGATCTTGACAATGAAAACTATAAAACACTGATAAAGGAAATTAAAAAGGATACCAACAAATTGAAAAATATTTCATGTTCACAGATTGGAAGAATTGTGAATCATATTGTTAAAGTGTCCACACTGCCCAAAGGAATCTACAAATTCAATGCAATCTCTATGAAAATATCAATGGCATTCTTCACAGAAACAGAAAAAAAAATCCTAAAATTTATGTAGAACCACCAAAGACCAGAATAACCAAAAGTATCCTGAGCAAAAAGAACAAAACCAGAGGAATCACGATACCTGACTGCAGATTATACTACAGAGCTATATTAACCAAAACAGCATGTTACTGGCATAGAAACAGAAACATATACCAGTGGAGTAGAATAGAGAACCCAGAAGTAAATCCAAACACCTACAGTGAACACATTTTAGACAAAGTTGCCAAAAACATGCACTGGTGAAAGGACAGTCTCTTCAATAAATTGTGCTGGGAAAACTGGACATTCTTATGTATGATAAAACTACACCCCTATCTCTTGCCATAAACAAAAATCAAACCAAAATGGATTAAAGACTGAAATCTAATACCTGAAACTATGAAACTACTACAAGGAAACATTGGGTAAACTCTCCAGCACATTGGTCTGGGCAAAGATTTCTTGGGTAATATCCCACAAGCACAGGAAACCAAAGCAAAAATGGACAAATCAGATCACAACAAGTTAAACAGCTCCTGAACAGCAAAGGAAACAATCAAGAAAGTAAAGAGACAACCCATCGAATAGGAGAAAATATTTGCAAACTATCCATTTGACAAGGAATTAATAACCAGAATATACAAAGATCTCAAACAACTCTACAGAAAAAAATCTAATGATCTGATTTTAAAATTGACAAAAGATCTAAATAGACATTTCTAAAAAGAAGACACACAAATGGCAAACAGGCATATGAAAAGGTGCTCAACATTATTGATCATCAGAAAAATGCAAATCAAAACTACAGTAAGATATTATCTCACCCCAGTTAAAATGGATTATATCCAAAAATAGCCAATAACTAATGCTGGCAGGGATGTGGAGAAAAGGGAACACATGTACAGTGTTGGTGGGAATGTCAATTAGTACAATTACCAGGGAGAGCAGTTTGGAGGTTCCTCAGAAAACTATAAAAATAGAGCTACCTTATGATCAAGCAATCCCACAGCTAAGCATACACCCAAAAGAAAGGAAATCAGTATGTCAAAGAGATCTCTGCATCCCCATGTTTATTACAGCACTATGCACAGTAGTCAAAATTTGGAAGCAATCTAAGTGTCCGTGAACAAACAAATGGATAAAGAAAATGTGGTATATATACACAATGGAGAACTATTCAGCCATAAAAAAAGAATGAGATCCCGTCATTTGCAACAATATGGGTAGAACCAGAAGCCATTATGTTAAGTGAAATAGCCTGGCACAGAAAGACAAACTTCACATGTTCTCACTTACTTGTGGAAGCTAAAAATTAAAACAATTGAATTCACAGAGATACAGATAGAATGATGGTAACCAGAAGCTGGTAAGTGTAGAGGGTGGGGGAGGGGAGTGGGGATGACTAATGGGCATGAAAGTACAGTTAGATAGAATGCATAAGATTTAGTATTTGATAGTGCAACAGGGTAAATAGAGACAACATTAATTTATTGTACATTTTAAAATAAAAATATAACTAAATGGTTTGTAACACAAAGAAATGATAAATGCTTGCGGTGATCTATACCCCATTTACCCTGATGTGATTATTATGCATTGTATGCCTATATCAAAACATTTCATATACCCCATAAATATATATGCCTACTATGCACTCACAAAAATTTTTCAAAAAGAAATGCTCCAAAGTTGGCAAGCTGTGACAGCAACACAACGGCAAAGATTCTCAGCTCTATAATGAAAAAGATCAGCATTCAGATTTGATTTCTGTTACTTACTATGTATTATTGACGAAGTTCTTAAGCTCCTCCACCTTTTCTCCTCATCTACAAATTGAGAATCATATTAACATCTACCGCATCGAAATTTTGAGGATTGAAAAATGCCGTATATAAGTAATTGAACCAGTAAGCAAGTTATAGTCACACCTAATTCTATGAAAGTAACAAATAGTGCTGGAATTCCAAAGGAGGGATCTGCATTAGCTGGTGCATTCAGGTATCTCTTCTCAAAGGAGATGATGTCCTCCTTATGGGTAAGAAGGACCCATGTTCATATAAAGCAGAAGCTAAAGAAAATACTTATGTAGACTGTTCTTTTAAATGACAGGGAGCTGACTGAAATTTGGTGAGCCAGGGAGAAAGTGATACAAGATGAAGTCAGAAGCCAGATGATACAGAATTTGTGAAGCCTTCATGAGGAGGTTGATTTTGCTCTTTATACAAAGGAAAACATTTAATGGATTTCAAACAGGGGAGTAACAGTATAGTGGGAAGAAAACTGAACTTAGACCCAGGAATCCTGACTTCACACATAGATGCATACTCTTATTAGCTGCGTAATTCTAAGTTTCTAAATAATTCTATACCTCAATTTCCTCTGCAAAATGGTAATAATAATACTATATCAACCTCAAGAGTTTATTATAAGGATAAATGAGATAGTATGTAAACAGCATAAGAATATCAATGTGGTAAACAGCAGGTGTGTGGGGGGGGTGTGTGGGAGGGTGTGTGTGGTGGAGGTAGTAGTAGTAACAGTAATATTTAAACAAAGTACAGAGCAATTTAACATTCAAATGAAAGAGAATTTGAGCCTTGAAATTGTTATATTGGCCAAATGCTTAAACAAAAACACTATTAAAAATGAAAATCCCCATTAAATGAAAATCTCAACCTCAATCATCCACTTTCTTATTATCTGAACTTTTCTATCACAATGGGGCTGTAGTATTACAGTAGGCTTTGGATGCTGCTCCCCAGAAATCAAATTGACCCAATTCCATGAATTAGAGAGGAGCTACAATATCTGGGATATTATTAGGAAATCAGGCCATCTTTGGAGTAGACTTAATGTGTATATTGAACTATCATAAGGATCAAAATATGCTACTTCAAAAATTAATTGAATTTAAATTAATTTGAAATGTCCTGTCTTCTTTCAAAAAAAAAAACTTGCTACAGCACTTAAAATTCATAATGCAAGCTTATGAAGAAAATCTCCAGATCTTGCGGTTCAACTAACACCAGAGAGAGCAGCACTCACTTCATGTTGGGATCAAGAGACCTGGGCCACAGTTCTGAAATTATACCCACAAGCACCACCTGGTTGCAAGAATATTACCAAGAACACACTAAGGGACACTTAATAATGTGACATGCTCTAAAGTTTCCTTCTTTTAGAGCATTTCTTCTGCCTTCTGTCCTTGTAAAAGAAGAATACATTTTTACTCAGCCTATGCATGTTTCCTTGATTTGATCACACCAAACAGCTTGGCCATTGAATATTTCATCAGGAAAGTGCTTTGGCTCTATATTGTCTTCTAAGAGACTAGAGAAGAGTTTTCTTTTTCTGAAAACCTGTGTTTGGCTTCTGCAGCCACAAGATTCTAAGTTTCTTGGGGTCAGGAATTAAGGATCAGTTTGCTCTCGCTACATAGTAAACCACACCAAAACTTAATAGCTTTAAGCAACAGCTCATAATCCTACAAGTCAGTGGGCAGTTCTTCTGCTGTCAGCTGGTCTCCGTTAGACATCTGTAGTCAGCTGCAGGTCAGCTGAGCAGCTCTGGTCTGGAAGTTCAGTGCCTATAGGCTGGGATATCCTTGTTTCTCTCCACATGGTCACTCATCCTCCAGCAAGGGGATGGTGGCAAGGCCTTTTAAGGCCTAGGCTTAAGATTACCTAGCACATTGTCACCTTTGCTGTACTCTGTTGACCTAAGCAAGTCCCAAGATGAGATCAGATTCAAGATGTAAACAAATATTCACCATTTTATAGCCACCAGGTCCCACTGCAAAAGGTATAGATACAAAGAAGAGTGAAAATTAAAGGCAATTTAGCAATTAACCTTACTTACTTGTGACTATAGCTCCAGTATCAAGTCTAGAGGTTAGGCTATAGAAAATGCTCAATAAATAATTGCTGAAGGAATGATTAAATGTTGTATTTGGACCTCAGCCCCAAAAGATCTCTTATTTCTCAATGTGATCCCTGATTGATATCACAGATGTAACTTGCGTAGTCTCTTCTTCCTATTCCTGTTCTCTGGCCTCAGATCAGCCCTGATGTCAACCAGAAAATTGCCAGTATAACCAGTCATCCTATCATTATCAAGGAAAAAAATCTAATGGAAATATTTTCATTCTGATCAGGTTTAAAATATTTAAACCTCTTTTTTACTTTACATGTGAAAGTGGGTGAGATAATTAAATAATTTCCACAAGTTGATGTTTTACAACGTTGGAGGACAAAAAGATTGTGTTACACATACATACCAAATACTGCTAGGATCTTTACATACATAATCTTATTTAATCCTCTATTATTGCATGTATTATTATCCCTATTATAAATATTCAGAGATCCAAATAACATCCCGAAGGACAACCAGATAGTAAGAAGCACTAATGACTCCAGGTCATATTCTTTCTTCTACACAATGTGTCCTCTCAGAGATAATCAAAAGTCTTGAGTTTGAATCTTCAAGCAGCCTACAACAACAAAAGTCATGAAATCTGAAATGCGAGTGTTAAATTATGAGTCCTTATCCTTGAGGCAAGCCAATACCAGCTTCCTTTAGTGAAGAGGTTATCTTGTAGTTATGCAGCAAATGGCAGAGGAAGATAGCTTCACCTCTGCATCCTCCATAGCAGAGGTAAGAGTAAGCTAATAGGCCAGACTGACTGTCAAGGCGTTCAGAATAAAATGGTGGCCTGAAGACACCCCTGGACCCCAGTGAGAGACCAATGATGGAACCATTAGGAGATGAAATATATTTTCATTTGGTCACAGTGTAACTGTTTTGTTCATGGCATTGACGAAATTATCTTTCCTTAAATCTAACCCCAAATAGCAACAATTCAAACATCCTCTCTTTCTGAGATCTTCTATTATAACAGACCTCCAGGGCTCATTCAAATTCCTTGTATAAAGTAGATTTTTGTTTCATCAAATCTTTTGGAAAACAGGGCTGGGTGCAGTAGCTCATGTCTGTAATCCCAGCACTTTGGGAGGCCGAGGAGAGCAGATCACCTGAGGTCGGGAGTTCGAGACCAGCCTGACCAACATGGAGAAACCCTGTCTCTATTAAAAAAAAATTACAAAATTAGCCAGGCATGGTGGCACATGCCTGTAATCCCAACTACTCAGAAGGATGAGGCAGGAGAATCTCTTGAACCTGGGAGGCAGAGGTTGTGGTGAGCCCAGGTCGGGCCACTGTACTACGGCTTGGGAAACAAAAGCGAAACTCCATCCCCCACAAAAAAAAAAAAAGAAAAGAAAAGCAGTAGAAATTATGTGACAAGATGGCATAGACAGAGAACTGGGAAGTTAGGAAGTCTTGTTCTAATACCCAATTTTGTGTAACAAGATTTGTTTCTGAGCAGAATTCTTCATATCTCTGAGTACCATTCACTTCATATGGCAAATCAAACTTAAAAAAAACCACTATCATTATTGGATTAGCATATACCCTGAGTGCCTCCCACCTCCGGACGTCTCTTAGGACAAATTAGTTAGTTCATTTTCATACATAGATTTCCATGCTTTAGATCCTGAGACCACAGCTTTTTGGACCAGGACCATACCTAGACTCGAAGAGCAGACATCAAGAGGATGGCTGGTGACCTCTGCCCAACAGGAGAAGGCTGTCCTGGATAGTGTCCCTGGCCTCATGCACCCTCTCCTAACTTGTATCCTGCTGAAGCCTCTCCCCATATAACACTGTATGTGGTAGCTATTATTTTCTAATAAATTTCTCCAGAATACCTGCAACAATCCAAGAAACCTGCCACCTAAACAACAGTTGGTTTATTTTAACTCAAAAGACAGGTGTTATAATAACACTATACAATGATAAGGTCTTATCTTATAGATGCAGATGAATGTTAATAGTCCTTGGTGAAATATCTAGTCCCTAGAATTTAGCCAAGAAAGGACTCAAATGATGATCCCTTGATGATGAGGTGATAAATGGGTTTATAATACCAAATTGCAATAATTGAACCAACATTTTGGGAGGGAGATATAGGTGGCTAAGAATCAGGTTTGTTGCTTCTGCAAAGCTGGAGTTTGACATTTAAATGATCTACAAGGGCTTTTAAAATTTGGTTTAGTTCTGCAGGTAATACAGTGCTTTTCTAAAGGCTGGCAATCTCCATGGGGAGAGATGTCAGTAAGTGGTTGGACGTGACTGCATTATTACTGTGCTTCATAGTTGTCTACCTTGTGCTTAAAATTATCCACATCTGGACCAACTGGTTGACTTTGCTAGGCCTCAATTTCCTTACCCTTAAATGTAAGTAATAATACAAGGTTGCCTGATAATTAAAAAAGAAAATATTTGTGAAACTCCTACCATAGTGCCTAGCCCATAGAAGGTGGAAAGTATATTTTAGCAAATATTTTGTTATTAATAATGTTATCACTCCTCCTGACCCCAGTTAACAGTCTTTCCTCAAAACTTAATCAAATGTTCTCCCCTTTTTTCTCCCTACGCTCCTTAGGAGAAGTCACCACTCCCAAGAATTCAGTTCTTAGATGTATGTCCCCAGATCCTATTTTTTTCTTTTCTTTTCTTTTCTTTTTATTATTATACTTTAAGTTCTAGGTTACATGTGCACAACGTGCAGGTTTGTTACATATGTATACATGTGCCATGTTGGTGTGCTGCACCCATTAAACTCATCATTGAACATTAGGTATATCTCCTAATGCTATCCCTTTCCCCTCCCCCCACCCCACAACAGGCCCTGGTGTGTGATGTTCCCCTTCCTGTGTCCATGTGTTCTCATTGTTCAATTCCCACCTATGAGTGAGAACATGCGGTGTTTGGTTTTTTATCCTTGCAGTAGTTTGCTGAGAATGATGGTTTCCAGCTTCATCCATGTCCCTACAAAGGACATGAACTCACCATTTTTTATGGTGGCATAATATTCCATGGTGTACATGTGCCACATTTCCTTAATCCAGTCTATCATTATTGGACATTTGGCTTGGTTCCAAGTCTTTGCTATTGTGAATACTGTCGCAATAAACATACATGTGTATGTGTCTTTATAGCAGCATGATTTATAATCCTTTGGGTATACACCCAGTAATGGGATGGCTGAGTCAAAGGTATTTCTAGTTCTAGATCCCTGAGGAATGGCCACACTGACTTCCACAATTGTTGAACTAGTTTACAGTCCCACCAACAGTGTAAAAGTGTTCCTATTTCTCCACATCCTCTCCAGCACCTGTTGTTTCCTGACTTTTTAATTTTGGCCATTCTAACTGCTGTGAGATGGTATCTCACTGTGGTTTTAATTTGCATTTCTCTGATGGCCAGTGATGATGAGCATTTTTTCATCTGTCTGTTGGCTGCATAAATGTCTTCTTTAGAGAAGTGTCTGTTCATATCCTTTGCCCACTTGTTGATGGGGTTGCTTGATTTTTTCTTATAAATTTGTTTAAGTTCTTTGTAGATTCTGGATATTAGCCCTTTGTCAGATGGGTAGATTGTCAAATGTAGATTGTAAAAATTTTCTCCCATTCTGTAGGTTGCCTGTTCACTCTGATGATAGTTTCTTTTGCTGTGCAGAAGCTCTGTAGTTTAATTAGATCCCATTTGTCAATTTTGGCTTTTATTGTCATTGCTTTTGGTGCTTTAGTCATAAAGTCCTACTTGCCCATGCCTATGTCCTGAATGGTATTGCCTAGGTTTTCTTCTAGGGTTTTTATGGTTTTAGGTCTAACATTTAAGTCTTTAATCCATCTTGATTTTTGTATAAGGTGTAAGGAAGGGATCCAGTTTCAGCTGTCTACATATGCCTATCCAGTTTACCAGCACCATTTATTAAATAGGGAATCTTTTCCCCATTTCTTGCTTTTGTCAGGTTTGTCAAAGTTCAGATGGTTGTAGATGTGTGGTATTATTTCTGAGGGCTCCATTCTGGTCCTTTGATCTATGTCTCTGTTTTGGTACCAGTACCATTATGTTTTGGTTAATGTAGCCTTGTAGTATAGTTTGAAGTCAGGTAGCGTGATGCCTCCAGCTTTGTTCTTTTGGCTTAGGATTGTCTTGGCAATACAGGCTTTTTTTGGTTCCATGTGAACTTTAAAGTAGTTTTTTCCAATTCTGTGAAGAAAGTCATTGGTAGCTTGATGGGGATGGCATTGAATCTATAAATTACCTTGGGCAGTATGGCCATTTTCACGATATTGATTCTTCCTATCCATGAGCATGGAATGTTCTTCCATTTGTTTCTGTCCTCTTTTATTTCGTTGAGCAGTGGTTTGTAGTTCTCCTTGTAGAGGTCCTTCACATCCCTTGTAAGTTAGATTCCTAGGTATTTTATTCTCTTTGAAGCAATTGTGAATGGGAGTTCACTCATGATTCGGCTCTCTGTTTTCTGTTATTGGTGTATAGGAATGCTTGTGATTTTTGCACATTGATTTTGTATCCTGAGACTTTGCTGAAGTTGCTTATCAGCTTAAGGAGATTTTGGGCTGAGACGATGGGGTTTTTCTAAATATACAATCATGTAATCTGCAAACAGGGACAATTTGACTTCCTCTTTTCCTAATTGACTATCCTTTATTTCTTTCTCCTGCCTGATTGCCCTGGCCAGAACTTCCAACACTGTTGAATAGGAGTGGTGAGAGAGGGCATCCCTGTCTTGTGCCGGTTTTCAAAGGGAATGCTTCCAGTTTTTGCCCATTCAGTATGATATTGGCTGTGGGTTTGTCATAAATAGCTCTTCTTATTTTGAGATACGTCCCATCAATCCCTAATTTATTGAGAGTTTTTAGCATGAAAGGCTGTTGAATTTTGTCGAAGGCCTTTTCTACATCTATTGAGATAATCATGTGGTTTTTGTCTTTGGTTCTGTTTATATGATGGATTACATTTATTGATTTGCATACGTTGAACCAGCCTTGCATCCCAGGGATGAAGCCCTCTTGATCATGGTGGTTAAGCTTTTTGATTTGCTGCTGGATTCGGTTTGCCAGTACTTTATTGAGGATTTTTGCATCGATGTTCATCAGGGATATTGGTCTAAAATTCTCTTTTTTTGTTGTGTCTCTGCCAGGCTTTGGTATCAGGATGATGCTGGCCTCATAAAATGAATTAGGGAGGATTCCCTCTTTTTCTATTGATTGGAATAGTTTCAGAAGGAATGGTACCAGCTCCTCTTCGTACCTCTGGTAGAATTTTGTTGTGAATCCATCTGGTCCTGGACTTTTTTTGGTTGGTAGGCTATTAATTATTGCCTCAATTTCAGAGCCTGTTATTGGTCTATTCAGAGATTCAACTTCTTCCTGGTTTAGTCTTGGGAAGGTGTATGTGTCCAGGAATGTATCCATTTCTTCTAGGTTTTCTAGTTTATTTGCATAGAGGTGTTTATAGTATTCTCTGATGGTAGTTTGTATTTCTCTGGGATTGGTGGTGATATCCCCTTTATCATTTTTTATTGCATCTATTTGATTCATCTCTCTTTTCTTCTTTATTAGTCTTGCTAGTGGTCTATCAATTTTGTTGATCTTTTCAAAAAACCAGCTCCTGGATTCATTGATTTTTTTGAAGGATTTTTTGTGTCTCTATCTCCTTCAGTTCTGCTCTGATCTTAGTTATTTCTTCTCTTCTGCTAGCTTTTGAACGTGTTTGCTCTTGCTTCTCTAGTTCTTTTAATTGTGATGTTAGGGTGTCAATTTTAGATCTTTCCTGCTTTCTCTTGTGGGCATTTAATGCTATAAATTTCCCTCTACACACTGCTTTAAATGTATCCCAGTGATTCTGGTATGTTGTGTCTTTGTTCTCATTGATTTCAAAGAACATCTTTATTTCTGCCTTCATTTTGGTATGTACCCAGTAGTCATTCAGGAGCAGGTTGTTCAGTTTCCATGTAGTTGAGCGGTTTTGAGTGAGTTTCTTAATCCTGAGTTCTAGTTTGCTTGCACTGTGGTCTGAGAGACAGTTTGTTATAATTTCAGTTATTTTACATTTGCTGAGGAGTGCTTCCAACTATGTGGTCAATTTTGGAATAGGTGTGTTGTGGTGCTGAGAAGAATGTATATTCTGTAGATTTGGGGTGCAGAGTTCTGTAGATGTCTATTAGGTCTGCTTCGTGCACAGCTGAGTTCAATTCCTGGATATCCTTGTTAACTTTCTGTCTCGTTCTGTCTAATGTTGACAGTGGGGTGTTAAAGTCTCCCATTATTATTGTGTGGGAGTCTAAGTCTCTTTGCAGGTCTCTAAGGACTTGCTTTCTGAATCTGGGTGCTCCTGTATTGGGTGCATATATATTTAGGCTAGTTAGCTCTTCTTGTTGAATTGATCCCTTTACCATTATTTAATGGCCTTCTTTGTCTCTTTTTCTCTTTGTTGGTTTAAAGTCTGTTTAATCAGGGACTAGGATTACAACCCCTGCTTTTTTTTTGTTTTCCATTTGCTTGGCAGATCTTTCTGCATCCCTTTATTTTGAGTCTATGTGTATCTCTGCACGTGAGATGGGTCTCCTGAATACAGCACACTGATGGGTCTTGACTCTTTATCCAATTTGCCAGTCTGTGTCTTTTAATTGGAGCATTTAGTCCATTTACATTTAAGTTTAATATTGTTATGTGTGAATTTGATCCTGTCATTATGATGTTAGCTAGTTATTTTTTGCTCATTAATTGATGCAGTTTCTTCCTAGCATTGAAGGTCTTTACAATTTGCCATGTTTTTGCAGTGGCTGATACTGGTTGTTCCTTTCCATGTTCAGTGCTTCCTTCAGGAGCTCTTGTAAGGCATGCCTGGTGGTGACAAAATCTCTCAGCATTTGTTTGTCTGTAAAGGATTTTATTTCCCCTTCACTTATGAAGCTTAGTTTGGCTGGATGTGAAATTCTGGGTTGAAAATTCTTTTCTTTAAGAATGTTGAATATTGGCCCCCACTCTCTTCTGGCTTGTAGAGTTTCTGCCGAGACATCCGCTGTTAGTCTGATGGGCTTCCCTTTGTGGGTAACCTGACCTTTCTCTGGCTGCCCTTAACATTTTTTCCTTCATTTCAACTTTGGTGAATTTGACAATTATGTGTCTCGGAGTTGCTCTTCTCAAGGTGTATCTTTGTGGCATTCTCTGTATTTTCTGAATGTGAATGTTGGCCTGCCTTGCTTGGTTGGGGAAGTTCTGCTGGATAATATCCTGAAAAGTGTTTTCCAACTTGGTTCCATTCTCCCCGTCACTTTCAGGTACACCAATCAGATGTAGATTGGGTCTTTTTACATAGTCCCATATTTGTTGGAGGTTTTGTTTGTTTCTTTTTACTCTTTTTTCTCTAAACTTCTCTTCTCAATTCATTTCATTCATTTGATCTTCAATCACTGATACCCTTTCTTCCACTTGACCAAATCGGCTATTGAAGCTTGTGCATGCATCATGTAGTTCTTGTGCCATGGTTTTCAGCTCCATCAGGTCATCTAAGGTCTTTTCTATGGTGTTTATTCTAGTTAGCCATTCGTCTAATCTTTTTTCAAGGTTTTTTGCTTCTTTACGATGGGTTCGAACATCCTCTTTTAGCTTGGAGAAGTTTGTTATTACCGATTGTCTGAAGCCTTCTTCTGTGAAATTGTCAAAGTCATTCTCCATCCAGCTTCGTTCCGTTGCTGGCGAGGAGCTGCATTCCTTTGGAGGAGAAGAGGTGCTCTGATTTTTAGAATTTTCAGCTTTTCTGCTCTGGTTTTTCCCCATCTTTGTGGTTTTATCTACCTTTGGTCTTTGATGATGGTGATGTACAAATGGGGTTTTGGTGTGGATGTCCTTTCTGTTTTTTACTTTTCCTTCTAACTGTCAGGACCCTCAGCTGCGGGTCTGTTGGAGTTTGCTGGAGATCCACTCCAGACCCTGTTTGCCTGCGTATCACCAGCAGAGGCTACAGAACAGCAAATGTTGCAGAACGGCAAATGTTGCTGCCTGATCCTCTCTCTGGAAGCTTCATCTCAGAGGGGCATCCAGCTGCATGAGGTGTCAGTCGCCCCTACTGAGAGGTGTCTCCCAGTTAGGCTACTCGGGGGTCAGGGACCCACTTGAGGAGGCAGTCTGTCTGTTCTCAGATCGCAAGCTCCATGCTAAGATAACCACTACTCTCTTCACAACTGTCAGACAGGGATGTTTAAGTCTGCGCAAGTTTCTGCTGCCTTTTTTTAGCTATGCCCTGCCCCCACAGGAGGAGTCTACAGAGGCAGGCAGGCCTCCTTAAGCTGCAGTGGGCTCCACCCAGTTCCAACTTCCCAGCCGCTTTGTTTACCTACTCAAGCCTCAGCAATGGTGGACGCCTCTCCCCCAGCCTTGCTGCCACCTTGCAGTTTGATCTCAGACTGCTGTGCTAGCAGTGAGCAATGCTCCATGGGCATGGGACCCTCCGATCCAGGCATGGGATATAATCTCCTGGTGTGCCCTTTGCTAAGACTGTTGGAAATGCACAGTATTAGGGTGGGAGTGTCCCGATTTTCCACGTACCGTCTGTCACATCTTCCCTTGGCTAGGAAAGGGAATTCCCCAACTCCTTCCACTTCTCGGGTGAGGTGATGCCCCACCCTGCTTCAGCTCGTGCTCCATGGGCTGCACCCACTGTCTGACAAGCCCCAGTGAGATGAACCCGGTACCTCAGTTGGAAATGCAGAAATCACCCGTCTTCTGCATCCCTCATGCTGGGAGCTGTAGACTGGAGCTGTTTCTATTCAGCCATCTTGGAACTTCCTCCCTTTTTTCTTAAAAGGTCCAAATTCAAAATCAAAAACCAAAGTTAACTATCCAACTGGTACAGGTCTAATATCCAGAATCTATAAGTAACTTAAACAAGCCAACAAGCAAACAACAAATAATTCCATTTAAAAATGGGCAAAGGAGCTGGGCATGTTGCCTCCCACCTGTACTCCCAGCACTATGGTAGGCTGAGATGGGTGGATCACTTCAAGTCAGGAGTTCAAGACCAGTCTGCCAACATGGTGAAACCCTGTCTCTACTAAAAAATACAAAAAATTAGCCAGGTGTGGTGGCAGGCACCTGTAATTCCAGCTACTCAGAAGGCTGAGGCAGGAGAATCACTTGAACCCAGGAGTCAGAGGTTGCAGTGAGCCAATATCGCACCACTGCACTCCAGCCTGGGTGGCAGAGTGAGACACCATCTCAAAAAAAAACAAAAACAAAAAACAAAAAACAAACAAAAAAAAAAACGTGGGCAAAGTACACGAACAGACACTTCTCAAAAAAAGACATACAAGTGGCCAACAAACATATTTTTAAAATGCTCCACATCAGTAATCATTGGGGAAATGCAAATCAAAATCACAGTGAGATACCATCTCACACCAGTCAGAATGGCTATCATTAAAAAGTAAAAAAACAACAGATGCTAGCGAGGCTGTGGAAAAAGGGGAATGCTTCTACACTACTTATGGGAATGTGAATTAGTTCAGTAACTGTGGAAAGCAGTTTGGAGATTTCTCAAAGAACTTAAAACAGATAGATTATCATTCAACCCAGCAATCCCATTATTGGATATATATCCAAAAGAAAGAAAAATCATTCTACCAAAAAGACGCATGCACTTGTATGTTCATCACTGCACTATTCACAATAGCAAAGACATGGAATTGACCTATGTGCCCATTAATGGTGCATTGAATAGGAAAAATGTGATACATATACACCATGGGATACTACATAGCCGTAAAAAAAGAATGAAATCATGTCCTTTGGAGCAATGTGGATGCAGCTGGAGGCCGCTATCCTAAGCAAATTAATACAGGAACAGAAAAAAAATACCACATGTTCTCAGTTACAAGTAGGAGCTAAACATTGAGAACTCAAGACCATACACATGAGAACAATATACAGTACAAACTACTAGAGTGGGGAGGGAGGAAGAGGAGAATGGTTCAAAAAACTACCCATTGGGTACTCTGCTCACTACCTGAGTGTAATATACCCATGTAACAAACCTACACATGTACCCCCATCTCTAAAATAAAAGTTGAGGGAAAGAAAGTTATCTTCCTTGCATAAAATTGGCTCTTCTTCATTGCTTTATTTTATCAATTATATCTCTATTGTCTCTTAACTCTTGGATTCAGATCTTTAGACACATTTGTCTCCTCCCACTGTCACATTAGCCAGGGCTGAAAAATCTTAATCCCTTGTGTTTTTCCATTATTCAAGCTCAACTTTCAGTAGACAAGCAATTGAACGGCGAGCTTCCTATCATTTTGTCTGCAGTTTGCCTTCTCTCTGATATAGCCTTCATTCTACGTAGATCATATCATACTCAAGTTCAATAGCTTTCACATTTCTCTGATTTATCGCCTCCAAAATCTGCCAATGACCTATTTAACATCTCCTCCTACTGTACTACATGAACCCCCTCTTCCAGCCAAATCTCTCTATTTATTGTGTCTTGAATACACATTTCTTTATTCTTCTCCCACTGCCTGGAATTGTTCTCTTTCCTACAAAGCAGGTGAAAACTTTGTATCCAAGAAATAAGCCTTGGTATTCTGTTTTAAATCTTGACCATAATTCAGATTCTGGAAAAGTGAAAATGCATTAAAAACTTTGTGTCTGTATGTCAACACAATGTCCACAACCACCAATCCACATTGTTGTAGAGTGTTTCACCAAGTGGTTGCACCAATATCTTTCATCCAGAACACCCTTTACAATGAAACTTTGGCATTTCTCTTACCAAAATGTGGAGTCTATTTCTCCTTCCCTTGAATCTAAGTTTGTACTGTGATAAGTGTTGGCCAATAAAATCCAGCTGAAGTGACACTGTGTGGTTTCAAAGACTAAGCTTTTGAAATTCCCTGTAATTTCTGTTTTCATGACCTTAGAATGTGTTGCTACCTGTTTGGGTGCTTTTGTAAGACTACCAAGCTATAAGGAAGCTTAAGCTGGCCATCCAGAGTAGATCTTAGATGCACTGGCCAATGCCCCAGCTGAACTCAAGCCCCATCCTATCTGCCAGCTAAACAGCAGCAAGGGTGAACCCAGATAAGACCAGGAGAAAAACCACCTAGCCAACCCACATAATCAGGAGAAATAATAAACCATTGCATTAAGCCATTGAGGTTTAAAGTGACTTGTTACATAGCAATAATTAAACTCACTATCCTCTCTCTATATAAATTGTTCTAATTATCAAAACAGTTATTGAAATATTTTTAGTATGAATCCTATCAGTCATGCTTTGTATTTGGTTGGTCTGAGCTTAAGTTTCTTCTCATCTAAAACTGTCATCCTACCTTTCCTTTCTAATGAATTTTTGAAGAAGTTAGACAAGTTGTATGTGAGTGTCCCATAGTCTAGATTTGTCTAGTTGTTTGTTGATGGGTCATTTATTTTTATTCTCTATCTCTTGCATTTCCTATTTTCTATCAAATCTAAGTTAGAGCTAAAGCACTGATTACACTCAGGTTTGATATTTTCTTGGCAAGATGTCATGTACTTCAAAATGTATCGTATCAGGGAAGTCATAATGTTAGGTTGTCTGACTATTAGTGTGATGTTAAGTGTGATTGCTTGGTTAAGTTGGTGACAACCACATGTCTCCACTGCATAGGTATATTTTTCTTTTTTGCAATTATCAAGTAATCTGTGAGTTTCTTTGCTACTTTAGAATGACTTGCTCCCTAATGGCCTCTCTCTTAAATGTATAACATTCATTATTGACCTGTTATCCCTGTAATCAATTACTTTACTAAGGGTTTCAAAATGGTAAATTTCTACTTTAATTATGCCTTATACTTTCACCAGCTGTTATTCTTCTGGAATAAAGAGTTTTCCCTCATCAAATTGGGCTAAATTACAATAAAAAGTTCAATGTAAATGCTTTATTTCTTCTTTTATTCCATCTGGAACTAAATGCCTTGGCTCCAGTCTATAAAGTTTTCTCTTCCTGGAGAGACTTAGTTATCTGCAGTAGTATAATGACTGCAGAATACAAATTAGAATTACTTCTATCATCACTAATCTCATTGTGGCAAAATCATTGACTTCCTTGAACAAAACCATTCCCAACACCTAAAAGCTTTATCATGCAATCAATTCTGTTGAAAAAATAAACACATTGGGTCTGTTTTTCTGGTTTTCATTTGCAAAAGTAATTAGAATAAGTTAGAAACCTGAAACTCAATTTTTCTACTCATAGATTGTGCTGCAACAATTGCACAAACAAATGTATTGTCATTCTCATGGGTGACTTCCTACTGTGGAGAAAGCTCTCCAGTGGTAAATGTTTGTGCTAAAGATGGTGTATCCAGTTATGTGTGTGACAAGAGCCCCCACTGAACCATGAAAATAATTACTGAACTTAAAGAGAATGAATTAAAATTATCTTGTCTGAGAAACAGAAAGCAATAGAGAGTAAAGAAGAAAGAAGAGATTTTCAGAGACCATCGCACTTGCAAACATGCTCATGAGCAGAGTCTCAGAAAAAGAGGACAGAGAGAAAGCAGAAAGAATACTTGAAGTAATGACCAAAAAACAAACACAAAAACTAAAACTTTCCAAACTTGATGAAAAATGTTAAACTACTATTCAAGAAATTCAATAAATTCCCTATGAGATAAACTCAGAGAACCACACATAAATACACCATAATTAAACAATCAAAGACAAAGAAAGAGCCTTGTAACCAGCAAGAAAGAAGCTAATTAAAAACAACTAATTTCTGATCAGAAACCATGGAGGCCAGAAAGTAGCAAGATGGCATATTCAATTTGAAAGGAATGTTATGAATAATTGTCAACAAGTTATATAACCTAGATGAATTTCTTAAAAAGTCCCTAATTAGCAAAACTGACTCAAAAAGAAATAGAAAGTCCTAAGAGACCTATAACAAGTAAAGGGGTTGCATTTAAAAAAAAAAAAAAGCACTTTCCAGAAAAACTCACGGGACCAGATGGCATTCCTGGTGAGTTAAAAAAAAAAAAATTAGTACCAGTCATCAAATTATTCACACACAAACTCATCCAAAACCTAAAAGAGGACAGAATACTTTCCAAATGATTTAATGAGGCCAGTATTACCCTGATACCACAAACAGACAAAGATACCACAGGAAAACTACAAATCAATATCACTTGTAGATATACAGGTAAAAATTCTCAACATAACACTAACAAACTAAGTCTATCAACATGTAAGAAGAATTCTACACCACAATTAAGTGGAATTTAGCCCAGGAATGAAAGCTTGGTTCAATACAGGAAAACCAACCAATGTAATTAGACCACATTAATGGAATAAATAACAAAAATATAATTATACCAATAGATGCAGTAAAAGCATCTGAAAAAATTCAACTTCCTTTCATGATAAAAACACTCACCAAAGTAGAAACAAGGTATTTCTTCAAACTTATTTTTTTTTAATTTAGAAAAACTTACAGCTAACATCTTATTTAATAGTGAAAAACTGCAATCTTTCCCCTAAAATCAGAAAAAAGACAAGGACCTCAACTCTTGCCTCTTCCAGTCAACATTTTGCTGGAGGTTTTATCCAAGCCAATTAGACAAGAAAAAGACAAAAAAGGCATCCAATTTGGAAAGGAAGAAATAAAACTATGTATACTAACAAATGGCATGATCTTATATATTGAAAATATCAAAGAATTTACTAAAAAACTATTATAACTAATAAGTGTTGTAGGACGCACGATGAATGTACAAAAACCAACCGTATTTCTATACACAGCAATGAATAAATGAAAATTAAATTGAGAAAACAATTCCATTTACAATAGCATCAACAAATAAAATATTTTGGAATAAATTTAACAAAAGAAGTACAAGACTTGTGTACTGACAGCCATAAAATATCACTTAAGGAAATTAAAGAAGAACTTTAATGAAAATTTAATGGAAAGCCATCCCATCTTTGCAGATTGGAAGACTTAATATAATAGTATTATGTTGACAATGCTCCCCAAATTTATCTACAGAGTCAACACAATTCTTATTAAAATCCTAGTTGCTTTTTTTTTGGCAGAAACTGACAAGTTGATCCTAATATTCATATGGAATTGCAAGGGACCCAGGATAGCCAAACAACATTGAAAATGAAAAACAAAGTAGGAAAAAATTCTCAATTTCAAAACTTACAACAAAATTACTATAATCAAGTACACAGTGTAGTACTCGCATAAGATAGGCATAAAGAACAATGAAATACACTACAGAAATAAACCTATACATTTATGGTCAATAGGCTTTTGACAAGGGTACAAAGATAATTTATTAGGGGAAAGAATATTCTTTTCAATATAGAGGCTTGAGTTAAATGGATATCAACACACACACACACACACACACACACACACAAATTGAACCCATACCTTACACCCCACACAAAAGTTAGTTTCAAATGGATCATAGACCTAAATGTATATGCTAAAACTATAATAAACTTTTGAAAAAAAAATGTAGGCTCAAGTCTTCATGACATTGGATTAGGCAAGGGTTCTTAAATATGACACCAGAAGCACAAGCAAACAAAACAAAACAGTCAACAAATTAGACATCAAAATTCAAAATATTTGTTTTAAAGGAGACTATAAAGAAAGTGAAAAGACAACCCCCAGAGTGGAAAAAACTATTTGCAAAGCATATGTCTAATAAAGGACTAGTATATAGCATATATATAGAACTCTACAATTCAACAACAAAACCATAAACAAACCAATTTTAAAATGAGCAAAGGGCGGGGCGTAGTGGCACATGCCTGTAATTCCAGCCATTTGGGAGGCCGAGGTGGGCAGATACCTGAGGTCAGGAGATCGAGACCAGCCTGGCCAACATGACAAGACCCTGTCTCTACTAAAAATACAAAAATTAGCAGGGTGTGGTGGCAGGAACCTGTAATCCCAGCTACTCAAGAGGCTGAGGCAGGAGGACCTGAGAGGCAGAGGTTGCAGTGAGCCGAGACTGGGACATTGCACTCCAGCCTGGGCAACAGATCAAGACTCTGTCTCATAAATAAATAAATAAGCAAAGGACTTGAATAGAAATTTCTCCAAAAAAGATAAGCAAATGGCCAAGAAGCACATGAAAAGATGCTTGACATCATTATTAATTATGGAAATTCAAATTAAAACCACAGTGAGAAACAACTTCACCCCCACTAGAATGGCTAAATTAGAAGGACAATAACAAGTGGTGAGAATGTGGAGAAATTAGAACCCTCATGCAATGCTGGTGAAAATGTAAAATGGTATAGATGCTTTATTATAGAAAACAGCTGGCAGCTGCTCAAAAGATTAAATATAGAGTTACTATATGACCCAATAGTTTCATTCCTAGTTAGATACCAAAGATAATATAAAAATTTTGCACACAACTGCTCATTGCAGCCTATTCATAATAGCCAAGAAGTGAAAATAAGCCAAATGGCTTATGATTAACAGATAAATACGGCATATCCATACAATGGCCTATCATTCAGCCTTAAAAATGAATAAATGTCTGATATAGCCTATAATATCAATGAATCTTGAAAACATGCTAAGTGAAAGAAGCCAGATATCAAAGCCACATATTGCATGATGCCTTTAACATGAAATGTCCAAAATAGGGAAATCCACAGAGACAGAAGTAGATTAGTGGTTCCTAGGAGATGGGGAATGGGAGAATAGGGCTCATTAGTCAATGCTAATGGGTATCCTGATGAGTGATGAACATGTACACGAATTAGATAGCGGAAATGGTTGTACAACTTTGTGAATATATTAAAAACCACTGAATTGCACATTTTTAAAAGGTCAATTTAAGATACATGATTATATCTCAATTTCGCAAAATGAAAATATCCTTGTAAGGTCAGTTTAGTATTTTCTTTTTTAAAAAAATGAAAAAAATATCTTCTAAGGTCAGTGTTAGTATTATCTAGTGTAAGTGAGTCGCATAGCTGGTTAGCTTAGATTTTATGACTCCAAAGTATGTGTGCTTTACATTGTAACACAATATATATGCATATATATGCATATGTGTAGGTAAGTATCCTTATTTTTATATCTAAAAATGTATGTATGTTTCCCAGAGGAGAAATACATCACTGCATTCATTCCCATTTTATTAATAGCCATTTATTGAATTTACTCTGTGCCAAGTACCAAGGACACAGAAAAAAATAAAAAGTGACTGCTGCCCTCATTGTGAATTACTTTAGTATATTAACTATGAATGAAACAAAGGAAGAAAGTATACTCTAGACCATTAAATGAGCTCACCCTTCCCAAATGAGAACAACCAACTCAGATGCCTTGCTGCTATCATAGGACTTTTTTGTTCCTGACCTATACTTCTTTTAACACTTTATTCCCCCAGCTGCAATCTCTTGCTTGGTCCTGGTGTGGATTCTGCCTCTGACCCTCTGGAAAGAGTGTCTGTCCTTGATCTCCCCATATCACCCAGGTATCACTAATGGCTTCAGCCCAGTTTCTCAACTGCAACACCACTGACATTTTGGACCAGATAATTGTGGGAGCTGTCCTGTGAACTTAGGATGCTTAGTTTCATTTCTGCCTCTACTTGCTAAGCAGTAGCAACATCCTCTGCAGTTATGACAACCAAAATATCTCCAGACATTGCATATGTCTCCTGGGGAGTAAATCACTCCTGGTTAAGAATCACTTAGCCTGACATTTTTACTCTAAGATTCTTCTTGGCCTGGACTGCTTGCTTGGGAGGCTGTCTCTCCTAAACCATGCCTCTCTAAATCAATCCCCAACAGCAGTGTATACCCACTCCAGCACCAGGCTGCACGTGAAGGGGTATGTTAAATTCCTTGAAAGCTTGTTTTTAGTACTCTTCTCCAACAGCATCCAATTAGCTCTATTTAGCCACCATAATCTATAGGATGTCTCTTTCTAAAAACCCCTTTCTACTCTCAGAGAAATGCCCCTGATTTCTGGATCCAAAAATGTCAACACTGAGTTGCTGTGAAGAGGAAGTAGGACAGGTCAGGGAGGGCTTCTGATCATCAGATGTTCTGGTTGCTTCAGTCCTGATTCCTCCTTCCTTCACCTTTTATACATGCTCTATTTACCAGGCAGCACTTAACTGAGGCAGCTGCCTCAGCTGGAAAGAATAAAATTGGGCAGGAACAAGCCTCTATCAGGCCCTGATTTTAGATGTTCTGGGCCAAAATCTGAAATGCAAGTAGGAGCTTTTAACCTAACAGGGGAAGGATATATGTAAAGAAAAGACCAAAGAAAAATGTCTACAAAGGGAGTCATTCCCGATGAAGTGTACCACTCAAGAACTTTCCTGTTAGGAGAGGCAACCTATTCAAAATAACTCGAGGGAAAAAAATCTACTGTTGCTGTCTGTGGGAGGCAAATTCTTACCAAAATTATGAAATGAGTTGTATTGGAACTTTCCTTGACAGAAATCCTACTCCTCTAGCTTGGGAGAAAAAGGGACAGAAAAGCTCACATCACCGGGAAAACCAAGGACTAAGGGGTGGGCTGGTTTAAGCATAGCAGAATCATCAGGTCTCTCCTTCGCTCTCTGTCCTCTTACCTTCCTGTTTGTTTCATTAGCAGGTACACTCTTTCCTTGTAGTGATAGTCAGTCATCACCAGCATCTTATTTTAAATTTAATTTTTTTTAATATGTGGGGTACAAGTGTACTTTTGTTATATGTTTATATTGTGTAATGGTAAAGTCGGTGCCTCACCCAAATAACATGCATTGTACCCATTAAGTAATTTCTTGTCATTCATCCTGCCTCTCTGCCCCTCACCCTTCTGAGTCTCCAGTGTCTACTATTCCATACTCTATGTCCGATGTACACATTATTTCACTCCCACTTCTAAATGAGAACGTACAGTATTTGTCTTTCTATGTGAGTTGTTTCACTTAAGATAATGGCCTCAGATTCCATCCATGTTGCTGCAAAAGACATGATTTCCTTCTTTTATATGGCTGAATAGTATTCCATTGTGCATATATACCATATATACCACATTTCCTTTATTCATGTATCAATGGATACTTAGGTTGTTTACATATCTTTGCTATTGTGAAATTTCATTGTTTATCGGCCCCAAGAAAGGACTCTGATAGGTCCTACTTGCATTACAACTGTACCTATGGACCCATCACAGCATCAGGAGTCAAGAGTGAAGACAGGCCCACTATTGTCTCTGATTCTGGATGCCAGAAGAGGGGAAGTGCTGCTGGGACGGTAAAAGCCACAGAGGTCTTCTAGACAGTGAGGTTATTTTAGGGCTTTGCACTACTTTCCCCACCCTGCTCCCTCTAGGCATTTATTATCTTCTCACTACTTATCCACCATCCAGCACTCACCTCTGCTCTCTTTGGATTTACAGCTACCTATTTCCTTCTGCTCCAACTTTAACTGTATCCTTCAACCCCTCTGCCTCCCTATTAGGGATGGAATGCACAAATTTGGGGCCTGTGACAGAAATAGCTGGAGCCTCCTTGGGTAAAAAACTAAAAGGATAAGGATAGAGTCTATCAGGGTGAAATACGTAGGCCGCTACCTTGCCTCAGTGAGTGTGTGCTGACTCAGCTCACGCTAGCAAAAGATGAGATTTTATCTACAGTCGTGTGCCACATAAGGATATTTCAGTCAATGACTGACCACACATATGACAGTGGTGTCATACGATTACTATGGAGCTGAAAAATTCCTGTTGTCTAGTGACATTGTAGCTGCCCTAACATTGTAGCACAATGCATTATTCACTGTGGTAATGCTGGTGTAAACAGACCTACTGCACTGCCAGTCACATAACAGTATAGCACATATATGTATAGCATATAACACTTGGTAGTGATAACAAATGACTATATGACTGGTTTGTGTATTAACTATGCCATACTTTTTATTGTTATTTTAGAGTATACTCCTTCTTACTAAAATAATAAGAATAAAGTTAACTGTAAAACAGCCTCAGGTAGGTCCTTCAGGAAGTTTTCCAGAAGAAGGTATTATTATAGGCTGTTATCATAGGAGACAAACAGCTCCCTGGGTGTTACTGCTCCTGAAGCCCTTCCACTGGGACAAGATGTGGAGGTGGAAAATAGCGACATTGATGATCCTGACCCTGTGCAGGCCTAAGCTCATCTGCATGTTTGTATCTTAGTTTTTTAACAAAAAAATTTAAAAAGTTAAAAAGCTTTACATAGAAAAGAGCTTATTGAATAAGGATATAAAGAAAGAAAATATTTTTGTACAGCTCTACAATGTGTTTGTGTTTTAAGCTGTATTATTACAAAAGAGTCAAAAAGGTTTAAAACAATGTTTATAAAGTTAAAAAGTAACAGTAAGCTAACATCAATTTGTCACCAAAAAAAGAAAACTGTTTTTATAAATGTAGTGTAGCCTAAGTGTACGGTGTTTATAAAGTCTACCATAGTGTAATGTTCTAGGCCTCCACATTCACACACCACTCACTCCCTGACTCATCCAGAACAATTTCCAGTCTGACAGGCTACATTAATGGTAGGTGCTTTATACAGATGTACCATTTTTTTTATATTTTAACTATAACTTTTCTGTGTTTAGAAACACAAATACTTACCACTGTGTTATAATTGCCTACAGTATTTAGTACAGGAATATGCTATACAGATTTGCAGCCTAGGAGCTATATTCTATACTATACAGCCTAGGTATGTAGTGGGTTATACCATCTAGGTTTGTATAAGCACATTCTATGGTGTTTGCACAACAATAAAATGATCTAACAATGCATTCTCAAAACATATCTCCATCATTAAGCAAGGTCTTACTGTATCTGAATTCATGTCAAAAGTTTAGGAATACATCCTCTCTGAGGTAAGCCCTAGCAAAATACTTGGAACATATACTTGGAAAGCTTCTAGGGAAGCCTGGCATTTGCCTTACCAATTCAGACAACACCAATTTAAGAATCAGTTAAGATTACACCAGTGGAGGCCAGAGCCTGGAAACAGAGCTTCCCCCAAGGCTAGGCCGTGGCCTCTCAGGGCCCTCACTCAAGGGAAAGTCCCCCAGAATCTAATCAACATCTCTGAGCCTGTTCTGTGCTCAGAGTGGATCAGGGGACTAATAACCAAGGAAAAACACATCACAAACCCCCAAAAGGCCCAAATCTAGCTTCCCTTATCCTCAGGAAAACGTCACCTTCCTTGTGTATGTTTCACAGCTTCAATGGATTACTTTTTGTTGTGCTTTGTTTTTCAACAGAAATTGGATCAGAAGGATTGTAGAAAATTATCTCAAAACCAGATATCACAAAATTCGGAATGATACGTTGGGCTCTCCAGGTTAAAATAGACCCAACGTATGTTTTCTTTTCTTGTTATCCCATGATGGCCTTGGCCACTGGGGCACCAGATACCAACTAATTAAGGACTAATACTGTCATGATTACCAAAGGCATCACTCCTATGTCTGTGTGGAGGTCTATATCAGCCGCATTGACTATGCCTTCAATGCGTACATGAGAAGCCAAAAGAATCATCTCCTTTCTGATACATATATTACACTTGGCAAATACCAGATGCTCTCAACCTCTGCCACACAAAATCACCTGGAGGGCTTTCAAAATATACATACGTCCTGCTTCATCCTCGGAAATGCTGATTTAATTAGCCTCAGGTAGAGCACAGGCACCGGGATTTACCTAAAATTTTCCCAGTGTTTCCATTGTACAGCCAGAATTAAAGACCTCTAGCATATACAGAAAAACTACTATTTATTTAGTTCTTGCCCTACGTCAAACATTGCATTAAATTTAAATTTACATTAAATTAAATTCTTAAAAAGCATTATCTTATGCAACCTTTTAACAACTCTACAAAATAATTACTGTTATTATACCCATTTCATAGATGAGGTAATTGAACTTGGAGAAATTAAGCAATTTTCCGAAGATTAAATGGCCAGTAAGTTTTAGAAGCAGAAATTTGTATCTTGTCTTTATGCCCAAAGAGTCATGTTTAACAATTACTTTATACTGTTTCCTATATGCTACCTTCTGAATAGATAGGATTATAGTAATCAATTTCACAGCAGAAAAAAATATATATGCCTAATGAGAACAGAGAAAGAAAATGGCAAGTATCCAAATAGATCCTGGGGACTTGCTAAATCTAAAACAAGTAAGTGTATTGTTGCCCTAGCAGCTGTGAGGTCACTTTCTTGACTTCACATGCACTATACAATTTCTTCTTTGGAGAAGAAAATAATGACAATGACAACTGTGACATGGCAATAACACAGGTATATGAGTATCCTTACTCTTTCTTTTAGGTACCAGAAAATTCATAAAAAGAAGACACACACCCTCGCACACAATACAAGATTTTAAACAAATCTTAGGATTATCCACACCAACCCTCTAACTTTACGTAGGAGGAAACTGTGATTCAACTTCACACATATTTGAAGAAACTGACACTAAGTCTCTGGAATTCTAGTCTGAGCCACTTTTCCATATCTACCCCCTCAGGAAGATTCAACAGCAGCAGGAAATAAACAACATGGTAGAATAGCATTCCTCCAACCTGTGCCCATGACATTACCAACTGAGCCACACTCGTGTGCTCATGCTGAGAGTCAGGAAACAGTTTGTAGGTACATGGCCTTCTCAGGATAGTCTCAGTTCTATGTTCTCCATAATCTGCATCCAAAACAAACAAACAAACACACAAACAAAAAAGAGTCTCTTTTCCAGAATGGCTGCCTAAACCATGATAAATGAAGCCACTGAAGCCATAAGGATTCAGGTTCCACTTTGTCAGACTTTTCCAAACTGTGGTTCTAGACTCTCAGATCAGAATTACCCAGGGTGCTTATTCAAAGTACATGTTTGTGTGCCATGAGCCAGATCCAAATTTCTGGATAAGAGGCCCATTTTAACGAACTACTCAACTGATTCTTCTGCACATGAATGTTTAAGAACCACTGATCTTAGATAACGGCCTTTCCTTCTCTGGTGGGTTCCCAATCTGAATTAAATTAGTAACTTCACAACTAAACACACACACACACACACACAATATGTAATATGTGTGTGTGCGGTTTTTTGTTGTCGTTGCTTTCTCAGTTCTGATCCTGAACTCATGCTGAGGACCGTGACATTCTACTAGGAAATCCCTAGATATATCGCAAGCCAGGCTGTAAGGCCTAGACAGAGTCCTGATTCTTCTCACCTTTTCATGCTGGATGTAAGAACCAGCAGAGCATGGAAACGTCTACCCTCTGACTCCCTAGAGCCCCCCCAGTTCATTGATACCTTATCTGTCATGAAAAGGACCATCTGAAGAGGAAAATGGCAGACACTGAAGCTCAGCTTCTGCCCTGTTCTGCTGTGCTTCCTTCAATCTATGGCTTCCCGGAGAGTGACCCTCTGAAACTCCTGCAGTCATTTTCCATGTTTATGCTTTTTATTGTGTCTGTTAGGCATTCAGCCTTTCAATTTCTGCTAGCAATGGAAGTACTAATGGAGCTCTCTAAACAACATAAAAAGGTCTTGCTCCTTCTTTTGGTACTGTTTAACCAAAAAAGCAAAAATTCATGAAGAACACCAGGGCTTGCTTTTTGAAAAGAAGGCAACTTCTCCACATAAAAGACATCTATTTGTTTTTATTCTACAACTGATTTTTCAAGGCATCATGTGCCATCTGTGATTTTATAGCCTCATAGTACTAGGCCTACCTAATCAGGAATGCAAACCATCCTGCCAATTTGATGTCATGTATTTGTGTCACAGGTAGAAAGAAGCTGGAGAACAGGGAAAGACAGAGGAGCTACCTACACATACCATCTGTATAAAATGCCTCCATCTAGGTATGGAAGTGAAACATGTACCATTATACATGGACCATAATACATTACCTAATCCAAATCTTTAGTGAGTCTCTTCAAATAGAATCAACCCATATATTAAAGGTAAATTTACTAAAATAGAAAAAGACTGGAAAATTCTTACTATCCAGCATCCTGAATAAACAAAATCTAAAGTTCTATCTAGTTTATATCCCTAGTTCAACTCTAAGTCAACATGATCAAGATTTCTACAACATGGCATCAAAAGAGATTACAAATGAAAACCTATTTTGGACAAAGTGTTAAACTAGAATCTGACCATAAGTTATAGCTTCCAGTTCTTGAGAGAGATATGGTAGCAGGTGGGAAATATAAACAAAAGTTTGGGCCTGTGGAATGGGTATAAATGCACACCGCTGTGTTATGAAACCCTGAATCTGATTCGCTTCAAAGCTGCGTGAATCAAATGGTTAACGCTGAGCCCCAGTGAGGTAAGACTAACGTATTCCCTCCCTCTGCCAAGAACTGCACCTAGGATTGAGCCCTTATGTGGATATATCCGTAGAAATAGCTTGAAGATCTGGAAAAAACATAAGTATAGGCTAAGAAAGCAATTGAGGATAACAAGGTAGCCAATAATAGAGGATGCAGTTATACATAGCATTCTGGTAGAATCAGCCAAGTGGAAGAAAGTCTCCCATTTAGTTCAAATTGAAAAATAATTTTCTTCCTTAATCACAAGATTTGTCATTTTACTCTGAGGTGACTATCTACAATCAAAGTTTCTCAAAACAGAGGGTACAGTAGAATTATGTGGCCAGGCTGAGACACCTGCCACTGGCACCAATACAGGACATTTGTGCTTGGCCCAAAGAGCTGCCCATCAAATTGAGTATTAAATCCAGGACCATCTAGCTGGAATACTTCATCTTCTTCCAGTTCTCTTAAATACAGAGATACTGGACTCCCCGTAGTGGGGGCATTTAAAGAGCACAACTTGCTAAGGCAATGATTATTAACTACCAAATGGTCTTATTCACTTTTTTTCTAGAAATATTTTATTTTATTTTTTTAGACTCCAAATATTTGTTTTATTTAGTTGTCATATAACTTTTAGACTAATTATTTTCTATTACATATTTTATTATTTTTGCTGACAATCATCCCATTTTGAGTCCCTACATTAAATTTCATTCTTTTTTTTTTTTTAGTTTTTTTTTGTTTAATTTTATTATTATTATACTTTAAGTTTTAGGGTACATGTGCACAACATGCAGGTTTGTTACATATGTATACATGTGCCATGTTGGTGTGCTGCACCCATTAACTCGTCATAAATGATTAAAATATATTTATATTTGTTGTGAAGTGTGAAAAAACATTATCTTATATTATGGTTCAAACAATATTGAGTTCTGATACTGTGAGAGGCTCATGTGAGTATTAAATATTATTAGTATTACTAGGTGTTAAAATATTTCTAATAGCATTAGGAGCATTAGAAACATTTCTAATAGCATTAGGAGCATTAGAAATATTTCTAAGAGCATTAGGAGCATTAGAAATATTTTAACGCATAGTAATACTAATAATATTTAATACTCACATGTGCCTCTCACAGTATCAGAACTCAGTAAGTATTGTTTGAACCATAATATAAGACAATGTTTTTTCACACTTCACAACATATATAAATATATTTTAATCATTTAAAGGAATAAAACTCTAAGTTTATCCTAAATGTGTTTATAATTTATTATTAATAGTATTTTATATATACAAACTGGTAAAATACAAGAGGGCCCCAAGCCAGAGGAATATGAGTTTGTTAAAGATAGATAAAGCATGAACACATATTTCTAAATATCTAGTGCTCAGCTCTCAGAGTGCTTCTTTTTCACTTTATGGAGGAAGACTGGAAAGCTTTGCAAATACAGTGGACATTGTGAATCTCAATCCAATTTTTACCTATTATTTTCTCTCTGCCTTTTGAGTACTTTTCAGGAAATGTGAAAGGTTGGGAAGAGATGTAAAAGGTGATTTAGTTAGTTAATCCGTCTATCAATGTACTTTTAAGTGTACTTCTTTTTATCCTGTAGTATGATGTGTACCATGTGTACTAGTCCATTTTCACACTGCTGATAAAGATATATCTGAGACTGGGCAATTTACAAAAGAAAGAGGTTTAATGGACTCACACTTCCATATGGCTGGGGAAGCCTTGCAATCATGGCAAAAGGCAGGGAGAAGCAAGTCACATCTTACATGGATGGCAGCAGGCAAAGAGAGAGAGCTTGTGTAAGGAAACTTCTATGTTTAAAGCCATCAGATCTCATGAGACTTATTCGCTATCGCGAAAACAGAACGGGAAAGACCTGCCTCCATGATTCAATTACCTGCAAGTGGGTTCCTCCCATGATACATGGAAATTGTGGGAGTTACATTTCAAGATAAGATTCAGGTGGGGACACAGCTAAACCATATCACCACACATTACAAGCAAGTGCTTTTTCATGCATTTTTCATTCTTCACAATCACCCTATGAGACAAATATACTTACATCCATTTGATAACTTAGGCTTAGATTTGCTGAAGCCTATTTAGTTAGAAAGTGATAGAGTTGGCACTCCAGTTCAGCTCTGCCTAGCTCCAAGATAGTATACCTAGCAATTACCAGACATCACCTCCTGCTGTAACCAAGTACTTTGTACTAATGTAGTGTTAGAGATGGGAATAGAAGTGGAGAATTGTCCCAATTTGAACCAAAATTTGCAGAATTTAGATATTTCCCAGCGCATTTGCAAAACTGGTAGAATGGGCATAGTAACATATGTTTCCATGAGGTGACTTATTAAAGTTAATTTGCTGTGATTATTGGGGGATTTTTTTAAACCCTTAAATTCACATACCACAAAATATTTTTACAAATTCACAAGGCTCATATATCTACTGCAGCCCATTTTGACCCAGTCAGAGCTCTTGGACTCAGGTCAAGAACCTCATTTCTAAGGGAAGAAAGAACCAGCCAAAGCAACCTTGCAATATTAACAAAATCTTAATCAAAGTGCAGGGTTGTGTACTCACCTTTGCCTGTTGTCCCCACTATCCACTCTAATCCTATGGTAGTGGAAGCTGAAGGTGGGGAGCACTGGAAAGATTACACACTTATGTGGAATTGGAATGCAACACAGGCTGCTTTTGTGTAACAGAGAAAACCACAAACATACAAAAGAGAGCACCAAATCCTATCAAATTTAGTTCTAAAACCCTTTACAGCTTTGGCACATTGGGCGATAGGCTTGAGAAATGGTAGTGAGGGCTCTCAGAAATGTATAGATATCATCAGGGAGTAATTAATATGACCTGGGAGGAACTTCCGAGAAAAATTCTGGAGTTGGTCCTAAATAAGGAGAGAGACCAGAGACTTCACAAAAATAGTGGCTCAAAAACATGGACACACGCACACACACACATACATGCAGGAGTGGAGTGGTGAGGGGGGGACGGGGAAGAGAGAGAGAGAATTATTATTATTGTTTATTATTTTTAAAAAACTTGAGGGAGGGATTGGAAAGTGAAGAAAGCTTTCCTTGGCAGTGAAAAATAAAGTGAGAAGACTGGAACATAAAGAGCGGAGTCTCCAGTGTGATCTAAGAACAAAGGCTCAACTTTAAAAATGAAATTACTTTTATGTATTCTGTTAGGACCCTTTATTCTCTCCCTTTTCTAGTGGGCCCACTGAATTCTGCTAAAGCTATACAAAATGATTTTTCAACAGATTGTTTACCAAAATCATAAATGTGTCATGTAAGAGCCTCCTATCTCCTATTATTTACTGTAATTCAAATAACTGTCAAAATAAAATGTTAGTTGCTTTTTCAGTCAGAAGAGTCCCTTCAGACTGGGAAAGAAATGGTAATTAAAAGAGAATCCCTGCTGAATGCCGTTGATCTTTCACTCGGGATTGAAATCTTTCGGTAAGAAATCAGAACTGACATATTAAGTTAATACTTGCATATAAAGTGTCAGTGTGCTACAAGTATTTAATTTCAAATACTGATTGCAAAAAAAAAAATTAGACTATAGTCTTTTCTTAAAGCACTAGAGATTTCTACCTACTTTGCTATGAATGGCTTAATTTTAAACGTAGAGCTTCATATGTGCTACTTTTTAACTTGTAGTCAGTGTATATTAATTATTTGTATGTTACAGTGTTTTCTTGTTTCTGTTTTTCTGTGGTTTGGTGGTGTTTTTGATGCTGTTTTTATGAGCTCATATCATAAGGTAGAAATTGAATATGTTGCCATGGAAATAATCTTTTGTAGAAGAGTTTACTATGAAAAATCATCAGTTATGATAATAAAACACACTATGGCAGCACTAGGGTGGGATTTTGTTGCCTATCGTTGCTGTTGCTTATTGATATTCTAGGTTTTGGTTTTTTTGTTTTTTTGTTTTTTTGGGTTTTTTTTTGTTTTGGATGCTGGAAATGTTTTGTTTATTTCCAAACCCATTGGCCTTTTTAAGACATATTATACTCCATCTGCTACACTAAATAACCTGAATTGTTATTTTGTAGTTGAGATTAAAGAAGACCATAATAACCAATTTAATCATCCAGAAATATCTGTTCGGCATCTACTACATTCCAGGCACTGTTTAGGGCACCCAGGACACTTCACTGAACAAAATTAAGAGGTCAAATACAGCTTCAGAAAAAGATGACACTTAATCTGGGTCCGAACATGGGTGAGTTTTACATAGGAATGATGACAATATTCAAAACACACAAGGAAGGTTTGTGGGTAAGAGGGAGCATGGTATGTTACTTAGTATGTACTAATAAACAATTGAAAAAAATAATCTGAATGTAGTAAAGAGTCCATATTAGAGACTGATGAGAGTGAGGGATAGAGTTATTTCTTACTTTGATGTTTTGTACCTATTCACATTTTACAATTATATTGTATATATTTCCTATAATTTGTCTGTATTCCCATGTATAAAAAGTGAAATTTCTGTCTATGTCTATATCTATACAGAGCTTCATGCTGCTCTTCAGAGAATTGACTGGCATGCTATTAATGTCATTTTAATGCTTAAAATTCTGTATTTGTCATTTACTCTGGACTATGCATAAAGTTGTCTATATGTAGACCATACCTGGAATGAAAAAAATAATCAGAAGAGGTCACCACACTCATGAGCTCATATTTGAATAAGTAAGAGACATACAACCTAATATATAACAAATAAATGATATGTTAAAATATAAGAAGGTGATTAGTGCTATGGAAAAAGAAAAAAAGTAGAGCAGAGCAAGAGAGGACACAGTAGGAGTGGGGTTGCAATCTTATATAGGGTGGTAAGGGCAGGCCTCACTGAGATGATATTTGAGCAAAGACTTAAAAGGAGTTGAGGAGGTTATCTATGTAGATATCTGGGAAAAGACTATTCCCAAAGAGAAGGACAGCCAGCTAGTCATATGACATAAGGTGGAAGTACATCAGGTGAGCTCAAGGAATAACTAGAAGGTCAGTGTGCCTGGAATGGAGTAAGCCAGGGGAAGAGTAATAGGAGAAAATGTCAGAAGATAGGAAGACTAATAAGCCTCTATCTGGAATTTGGATTTTACTCTAAGTAGGATGGAAAAACCATTGGAAGGTTTTGAAATAAGGACTGACACGATCTAACTTAGGTTATAATTAGATCACTGTAGCTGCTCTGTTGGGACTGGACTGTAGGAAGTGAGGGCAAGGATAGAAGAAGGGAGACCAGATAGGAAGCTGTTGCTGTTATCCAGATGAGAAAACTTGGTAACATAGCCTTAAAAAAATAGATGAACAGATAATAGAAAGTGATGGGATTCTGGACATATTATAAAAGTACTGCCACAAGATTTGCTGATGGATTGCATATAGGAGAGAGAGAAAAGAGAGTCAAAGATGGCTCCAAGGGTTTTGGCCAAAGCAACCAGAAGGATAGAAATGTCAACATTTGGAAAACACATAGCCAAAAAATAGACTTAAATGAATCAAGAACTCTAATTTAAAAGTATAGGTTGGATTTCTGGTTTCTGGTTCAGCATGTAAGCAGCTTAGGAGTTGCTACTCTGTTTTAACAAGTAAAAAAGCCAGGCAAACTGAAAAATCAACAACTCTTCTTATTTCCATCAGAGAATTGAGGTCACAGGGCAAACTGCTTCCCCCAGAATTGGAGATACAGATAAGAAAACACAGAACATCACAACCTATGGGGAGAACCCACAAACTTCCATGAGAATCAGTACTGAGGTAGGAAAACCTAAACTGTAATTGACAAATTGGGAGGCTCAGTGTGGACAAATCAGATAATTAAAAACTCTAGGGGACCCAGTCATGAGGCAAGTGGTACATTTTTATGAGTTTTACCTCCAGAAGCTCTACAAGGTCCTCCCAGTGAATGTTGGACAAAAATTTCTTCCTCCCTCTGGGATGGGGAAGGCGAGAGAAACTATTTTGAAATATGCCTGAGCATTCTGTTCTACATGAGGGCTACCCTTAGGAGAAACTGTTTTACCAGAGCGTAAAATGCAGAAGTTTTGTGAGAGGCTAGCCTACCTGGAGGAAGGAAAATACAAACTCCAGCCAGTTCTAGCCTTCCATGTGAGGGAAAAGAAATAGCCAATTCCAGCCCCATGCATTCATTTTGTCCCACTGAAGTCCAGGGAACCTGGGGTACTGAGAAACACTGCCACAGCCCAGGGGCTCAGGCTCACCAAAATACCGAGACCTAATCATAGGACTGTAGAATGTTTCCCCTCTCTCCTTCTCCCAGTACCCTAACACTATCTTACTAAAGATCTTTTACCCAGGACATTATGTCTATCTTTCAACAAAAAATTGCAAAGCATACTGACAGGCAAAAAAAAAAAAAAAAAAAAAACAGCTTGAAGAGACTTAACATGCATCAGAACCAGAGTTAGATATAGCAGGAATATTGAAATTATCAGACCAGGAATTTTTTTCAACTATGATTAATATGCCAAGGGCTTTAATAGAAAAAAGTAGACAATATGCAAGAACATATGGATAATGTAAGCAGAGAGATGGGAATTCTAAAAGATAATTAAAAAGAAATGCTCTACATTAAAAAATCTCTGTAACAAAATGAAGACCGCCTTCCATGGGCTCATTACTAGACTAGATAGAACTGAGGAAAGAGGCTCTAAGCTTGAGAATATGGCAATAGAAACCTCCATAACTGAAAAAGCAAAGTGAAAAAAAGCACAGAACAGAATATCCAAGAACTGGGAATAACTATAAAAGGTATAATATACCCACAATATAAATAACAGAAGGAGAAGAAAAAGAGAAAAGAATACAGCAGTGTTTGAGGCAATCCCGACTGAGGGATTTCCCATAATTATTTATTTTCATATGCCAAACCACATAGCCAGGTAACTCAGAGAACATCAGTCAAGATGAATGTCAAAAGAAAGAATATGTATACCCTAAAAAAAAACTACATCTAGACATATCATATTCAAACTTAAGATAAAGAAAAAAATATTGAAGGAAAACAGGAAAAGCCACCTCACCTATAGAAGAGCAAAGATAAGAACTACATCTAACTTCTCCTAAGAAACCATGCAAGCAAGAAGAGAGTGGAGTGAAATATTTAAAGTGCTGAGAGAAAAAAAATAATCAACTTAAAAGTCTGTACCCTGTGAAATTATCCATCAAAGGCAAAGAAGTTAAGACTTAGACAATCAAAACTTAAGATAATTTGTTGTCAGTAGAACTGCCTTGCAAGAAATGTTAAAAGTTCTTCAGAGACAAGGAAAATGAGGTACATCAGAAACTCAGATCTACATAAAGAAAGGAAGATTATCAGAGAATAAATAAATGAAGGTCACATAAAAACTTCTATTTTTCCTATGCTTAATGTATCTAACAATAATATTTTGTTCAAAATAATAATAGCAACAATGTGTTCAATTATGTAGGTTATGTGTGCATTCATAGAGGCTTATGTATGATTGTGTATAAGTGAAACAAATGACGCAAGGGACAGAAAGGAAAAATTAGAAATATTTTGTTATCATAAGGCACTTCCACTACCCACTAAGCGGTACACTATTATTTAAAAGTGGATTTGGAAGGATGATTACCAGAGGCTGGGAAGGGTAGTAGGGGGGTGAAGGTGGGTGGAGATGGTTAATAGGTAAAAAAAAAGAAAGTATGAATAACTGAACCCTAGTATTCAATAGCATAACAGGGTGAGTATAGTCAATAATAATTTAACTGTACATTTTAAAACAGCTAAAAGAGTATAATTGGGTTGTTTGTAACACAAAGGATAAATGCTTGAGGGGTTGGATACCCTATCTTCTATGATGTAATTATTATGCATTGCATGCCTGAATCAAAACTTCTTACATACTCCATAAATGTATACACCTACTGTGAATCCACAAAAATTTAAAATTTAAAATAAATTAAAATATGAGTAGACTTGGATTCATTGTAAAAGTACATTGCATACTCTAAATCACCCACTAATAAGGTAATAAGAGGTATAGTTTATATTATGAAAAAGAAGAGAAAATGGAGTAATACAAAAGTCTAAATTAAAACCACAAAAGGCAGAAAAAGTATAGAAGACATTAGGGACAAAGAACAAGAATAACAAATAGAAAACAGTAACAAATATGGCATAAAATACAGAGATTGTCAGAATAATCAAAAAACAAGACTACAAGAAATACACTTTAGTTACAAAGACAATACAGATCAAAGTAAATGGATGGAAAAAAATATATCATGCTAACACTAATCAAAAGAAACTCAGGCAGAAAATCAGTAAAGACACATTTGAATTCAACAACACCATCAATAGACCAGATATAGTTGGCATCTATAGACTACTTCAACTAAAAATAGCAGATTACACATTCTTCTCAAGCTCACATGGAACATTCACCAAGATAGACCACATTCTGGGTCATAAAACATGTCTTCACAAATGTAAAAGAATAAAACTCATGCAATGACCTGCTCCCAGACCACAGAGAAATTAAACAAGAAATCAGTAACAGAAATATAGCTGGAAGCCACCCCCCCACCAAATACTTTCAGCTTAAACAACAAACTTCTAAATAACATGAGTCAAAGAAGAAATCCAAAAAAAAATTTTAAAATATTTTGACAAACTGAGAAAGAAAATAGAATTTATCAAGATTTGTGAGAAACATCAAAAGAAGTTCTGAGAGGAGAACTTATAGCCTTGAATGTATATACTAAAAAAAGGAAGAAAGATCTAAAATAAATTATCTAAATTTTCTACTTAGAAAATTAGAAAAAGAAGAGCCAGTTAAATCCAAACTAAGCAGAATAAAAGAAATAATAAGCATTTGAGCAGAAATCACTGAAATTAAAAACAGGAAATCAATAGAGAAAAATCAATCAAAGCAAGAGCTGGTCCTTTGAAAAGATCAATAAAATTGATAATCCTCTAGTCAGGCTAACCAAGAAAAAAAGAGAGAAGACACAAATTACTAGTATCAGAAATAAAATAAGGGACATCACTACAGATCCCATGGATATTAAAAGGATAATAAAAAGGAGTATTATGAACAACTCCATGCCCACAAATTTTTTTTTATTTTTTTTATTTTTTTTTATTATACTTTAAGTTTTAGGGTACATGTGCACATTGTGCAGGTTAGTTACATATGTATACATGTGCCATGCTGGTGTGCTGCACCCACTAACTCATCATCTAGCATGATCTAGATAAAATGAACCAATTCCTTGAAAGACACAATCTGAAAAAACTCACACAGGAAGAAAAAGATCATCTGAATATGCCTATATCTATTTTTAAAATTGAATCAATAATTAATAATCTTTCAAAACAGAAAGCACAAAATCCAGATTGAGTCACTGGTTAATTCTATCAAACATTTAAGTAATAAATTATGCTAATTCTCTAAAATCTCTTTGTATTAGTCCATTCTCACACTGCTATAAAGAACTTCCCAAGACTGGGTAATTTATAAAGAAAAGAGCTTTAATTGAGTCACAGTTTAGCATGCTGGGGAGGATTTAGGAAACTTACAATTATCATGGAAGAGGAAGGAGAGGCAAGGCACCTTCTTCACAAAGTGGCAGGAAGGAGAAATGCCGAGTGAAGGGGGAAGAGCCTCTTATAAAACCATCAGATCTCATAAGAACTCATTCACTATTATGAGAACAGCACGGGGGAAACCATCCTCATGATTCAATTACCTCCACCTGGTCTCTCCCTTGACATGTGGGGCTTATTGGGATTATAGGTATTACAATTCAAGATGAGATTTAGGTGGGGGCACAAAGCCTAACCATATTACTCTTCTGGAAGATACAAGCAGAGGGAATACTTCCCAAGTCATTCTATTAGGCTGGCATTATCCTAATACCAAAACCAGACAAAGGCAATACAAGAAAAGCAACGTACAGACAAATATTTCTCTTAAACATAGGTGCAAAAATCATCGACAAAATATTAGCAAACCAAACCCAATTATCTATAAAAAAAAAAACAACTATGCACCATGACCAAATAGTATTTATTTCAGGTGTGAAAGTCTGGTTCAATATTTGAAAGTTAAATAATGTAATCCATCATATCAACAGGCTATAGAAGAAAAACCACATGATTATATCACTAGATGTAGAAAAAGTATTTGACAAAATTCAACACTCATTAATGATAAAAATTCTCCTCAAGCTGAAAATAGAGGAGAATTTCCTCAACTTGATGAAGAACATCTGCAAAAAACCTGCAGCTACATAGTACTTAAAGGTGAGGAACTAGAAACTTTCCCACTAAGATTGGATACAAAGCAAAGTTGTCTCCTCTCACCATTCCTTTTAATGTCATACTCAGAGTTCTAGATAATACAACAAGTTAAGAACAGGAAATAAAATATATACAAGTTGATAAGAAATAAGTAACACTGTCTTTGTTCACAGATGACATAATTATCTTTGTAGAAAATCCAAAAGAAACAAACAAAAACTTCCACAGCAAATAAGCAATTACAGCTTGAAGGATACACAGTCAACATGCAGGAATTGATTGCTTTCCTATATGTTATCAATGAACAAGTGGGATTTAAAATTTAAAACACAATACTACTGACATTAGCATCCCAAGCAATAAACTACTTAGATATAAATCCAACAAGATATGTATAAGTCTATATAAGAAAAACTACAAACACAAAGAACTAAATCAATAAAAAACAATCCTATGTTCATAGATAGGAACAATCAATATTGTTACCAAATCAGTTCTTCCTAACTTGATCCCAATCAAAATCCAGCAAGTTATTTTGTGAAATATTGACAAACTGATTATAAAGTTCATGTGGAGAGGCAAAAGGCCTGGACTAGTCAACACAATATTGAAGAAGAACAAAGTGAGAGGACCAGCATTACTCAACTTGAAGACTTAGTAAAAAGCTATAGTAATCAAGACAATGTGGTACTGGCATAAGAACAAACAGATCAATGGAATAGAATAGAGAGCCAAGAAACAGACCCATGCAAATACAGTCAAATAATCTTAGACAAAGGATCAAAGACAATTCAATGGACTAAAGAGTCTTTTTGACAAATGGTAATGGGGCAACTGGACATTCACATGCAAAAAAAAAAGAATCTAGACATGTAACTTAACACCCTTTACAAAAATTAACTCAAAATAAATTATAAACCTAAATGTAAAGTTCAAAACTCTACAACTCCTAGAAGATTACAGTAGAGAAAACCTAAATGGCCATGGGGATTGTCAGTGACTTTCTAGATACAATATCAAAGTCATGATTTATTAAAAAGTTGATAAGTTTAATTAAAATTAAAAACATAAAAACAATGTCACGAGAATAAGAAAACAAGCAACAGACTGATAGAAAATATTTTCAAAAGCTACATCTGAAGAGGGACTGTTATCCAAAATATACAAAAAAAAACCCCTCAAACTTAACAATAAGAAAAGCAACAATACAATTTAAAAATGGGCAAAAGATACCTCATCAAAAAAGATATACAGATGGCAAGTAAGTATATGAAAATATGTCCAATGTTGTAAATTGCTAGGGGATTGAAAATTAAAACAACAATGAGATTCCACTACACACCTAAGAGAATGGTCAAAATCCAAACACTGATGACACTAAATGTTATAGAGGATGTGGAGCAACAGGAACTCTCATTCATTATTAGTGGGAATGCATAATGGTACAGCTACTTTGAAAGACAGTTTGGCAGTTTCTTACAAAACTAAACAAACATACTCTTCCCATACAATCCAGCAATCCCACTCCTTTGTGTTTATTCAAATGAATTGAAGATTTGTGTCTACACAAAAACCTGCATGTAGATTTTTATAGCAGCTTTTATTCATAACTGCCAAACTTGGAAGCAATCAATGTGTCTTGCTGTTGGTGAATGGATAAATTGTGATACATCCAAACAATTGAATTTTATTCAGTACTAAAAATAAATGAGCTATCAAGCCATAAAAAAATGGAGAGACCTTAAATGCATATTACTAAGTGAAAGAAGCCAATTTGACAAAGCTATATGTCACATGATTCCAACTATCTGACACTCTGAAAAAGGCAAAATTATGAAGATAGTAAAAAGATCAATGGTTGCCAGGTGTTGTTTAGGAGGGAAGGATGAACAGGCAGAGCACAGAGGACTTTTAGGGCAGTGAAACTACTCTGTATGATTCTATAATGGTGAATACATGTCATTATACATTTGTCAAAGCCCATAGAATGTACAATACTTAGAATGAACCCTAATGTAAACTGTGGACTTCGAGTGGTAATGTACCAATCATTCATTGATTGTAACTATTGTGCCACTGCGATGTGGGATGTCATTAGTGAGAGGTTGTACCCATGTGGAAATAGAGGTATTGAAACTCTATATTTTCTACTCAAATTTTCTCTAAGCCTAAAATTACCCTAAAAATTAGTTCACTAACTTAAAAAACTAAAGAAATTGGTAATTCTAAAGAAAATCTTTTTCAGGAAAAGTAGAGATTGTTTTACTAGATTTTTAAAAAGCAGGCCCAAATATATGCTGTTTATAGGTGATGCACTTTAAATAGAAGCACAAAAATAAGTTGAGAGTACAAAGATTAAAAAAGACACTATGCAAACCAACAAGATTTAGAAAGCTGGTGTGGCTAAAATTTATATCAAATTTAGTGGAATTCAGGGAAAAAAATGTTATAAATCTAGAGACATTTCATAATAATAAATGAGCAATTCCTCAGAAAGATATAGCTTCTTTTCTCTTACTTACGTGGGTGTTGGTCGCTAAAAAAAAATTTTCATCCCAAAATCCATGTCAGCATTGGCTGCTGGAGAGCTCAATCTGAGACAGCAAGGTTGACTCAACATATAAAAATTAATACATACAATTCACCACAATAACCAAATAAAAGAGAAAAATCAGATGATCAACAAAGTAGATGCAAACGTTTGGCAAAATTCAATACCTGTTAGCGATTTAAAAAACTCCACCAACTAGGATCTTGGTACTCCTACACCTAGTTTGAACTGTGACTGGGCAATTATAGCAACCAGAGCCTGATAAGGGCATGATGACCACAAGATGATTGTCATGAATGAAAGTCTAGGTTGCCCCCACCAACCAAGCCACCTGAATCAACACAAGTGCTAGCTAAAAAAGAGAAAGCTAAAAAATTTAATACAGGTGAGAGGAAAAGGATTATAAAAATCATTTATGGCCTTGGGATCAACAGCAGCAACAAGAGTTGTAGCTCTTCCCAGTAATGCTTGTAAAATTTTCCAAGAAACTTTGATGAATTAAGCTGTGGCAGGGTAGAGTAAACTTAATGTGAGATGCAAACTATCAGAGCAATGCAAGAGGAGGGACACTAATGGAAAATGCTCCTGTTGTGCACAGATCCCCTGAGATCATTTTATCGTTTCTGTTTTCCCTAATCCCAGTTTCTATACATTTTTGCCACTGATGGGCTACACCTGCTACTCTTCTTTGCCTACTGCCCTCAGGTTACCAGAGCCACTTGTGCAGAGAGCTAGAAGTGTCTGGACCTTACATTCTCACAACCCCATGCCTACACTCTTTCTCTTCATTTGGTCCTTTACACTTGAGAGATAGCATGGCAGAATGAAGCCCATTTTACTTGCTCAGGACAAACTCTGAGGTGCAATTTACACTCCATTGTTTCCTTACAGCATCAGGCTGAAGCTACCTTCCAAAAATTTTACTCTTGTTAGATTATTTCCTTTCCTTTCCTACTTCCCCCATTTCCTTTCTGGTGTCTCTGGAGAGCACTTTCCATGCACAAGAGGAGAGTCTGGTACTGGGACACCCAACCTAAAATATTTTGTTATAAACCTCCACAACACCTTATATTTCTACTTCATATTACTCAACTCATGGGCAATGATTAGTTCAAAGCCTAAGTTCCCTGCTAGTGTGTAAAGTACATAAGTAGAGGGACTGGGCACTTTTGTCATCCCTAGTGTCTAAACTACTTTGTGGCACATAGATTCAAAGACATGTTGTATGATATATGAATGAAAACAAACCAAGAGTATCACAATTAATTAGTGAATTGGCGATATGTTTGTGATGTTTTAAAAAGAAACATTGTTTCTTTTTACATAAAAAGGCTTTTATACATAAAAATGCTTTATTGCTTTTAAGTGGATTTAGTGCATTGACCTAGGATAGATAAGCAAACACCAGTACTAAAAATAGAAGTCCTTAGGAATTCACTTATGATTTTTCAACCCCTCTGGGCACCTTTCTGTAACTGTTATTGGTTTGTTCTATATTTTCTAGTTTGATTACTCTTTTTGAAAGACAAGACAGACTCACAACAGAAGCAAAGTCGGTACTAATTGCACCCATTACCAAAGTTATCCTGGGCATACTTCTCCGTGGGTTCCATCCTTAAAGTTACAGTGAATTCTATGATGTTCAGAATATCTGATTATTTGAACAACATCAGCAGGGCACAACACATGATGTGAACCCAAAATCACCACAGTTGCTGTTCACATCTGCTAAGCAGGGCCTTAACAAATTGTTCAAGTCATTAGAGAGGTAAATATAGGAAAGAAAATGTGTACATTAATCCACACACTGGGAGCTCTTCATTGAAGAAGGAACTGACTGGTGAGTGCTCTCAGTCACTTAATGACACCAAATTGCTACAAGTAGAGTTTCAGAATAATGTTAAGGCAAAGATACAGAAGAGATGAACAAATGAAAAAAATCAGAGTAGTTTTCTATGTTAGCATGCCTGGAATTCTAACTACCAAACTGAACCAATTTGAATTCTTTGTTTTAAAATCTTTCCTCAAGTCTTCTTCTTCCTCTGTGAGCTGAATACACGTCACCCAATATAAATGCCAATTTTAGGTTGTAACACGGAAAAAGACATGTGCATTAATCATGATACCTTGGCCCCACTTGTACCATCTTCCCTTTGGGAGCAAAAGAAACTTTGCTTAAGATAAAATAAATTGGGCCCCCTGCTATAAGTTGGAGAGGGTCCTGGTGAGGAAAAAGTGAATGTGCATTGTGTGTAGAGGTATCTGTATAAAAGCCTCATGCTAAAATTTTAGAGGTTGTTATGCCATCTTAGAAAAGAACGAGGACTATGTTTCACTTTATCCACTATAGAAATATATTATTTGGATATTTTTAACTCAATTACTAAATCTGTTTAACTATAAATGCAAATTCTTAAAAAATATGTATGTGTATATATACACACACATATATATATACACGTACACACACACACGCACATACATATATATGACGTATTTTTTCCAAACTTTAGATGAAAAGTTTATTCACAACAGCAAATGCAAAAAAAGGGGGAAAAGAAGCAGAGTTGTTTTTATTTTTGTTTTGTTTTGTTTTTATTGCAGATGGCTTAGTATTTCCTTACTTCTCCTTCTGTGGCATGACCGTCATTTTTAACTACTGAATGTATTGATACCACAGCTTTTTCAAAAATATTTAGGAAGCTTACAAAAACAAATGATGTCATGGCTAATAGAGATTAGTAAATTAGAGAAGGAAATAGAGACTAAGAAAAAGATAGGAATTCAGATACCAACCATGGGAGTCAATCCTGTTTCTGTGACTGAACTTCTAACTTGGCCCTCGACTTCCTGACAGCTAGACAAAAGGCTGGTAAGTCTAAACATACCAAATGAAAGAAGAGGGAAAAAAACCTCACTATGAAACCACCTCATATGAAACAACCATTTTCCAATTATAAATTATATACTGAATTTTTTGTTTGGGATTGTAGCTAAGAGACCTTTTTCATCAGTGAACATTAGGCTTGGCAACATTTTTGTAGCAAACACATGGTCATTTCATAAAATGGTATTGATTAAATATTTAGTGCAATTGAGTGAAGGTGATTCCATAAGCCAAGTTTATATGTTAAACTCTGGTATCTAATATGTTTTAATTACAGTTTTAAATTATCAAAAGTAGTGGGTACCTTATTTTCCCTAAATGAAACTTTTCTCAGTCGGGCTTTTGTAAAGAGGTGGACGATAGAAAAATTAGATCATACTTTCTGACCAGTGATTGAAACACACATTTCTATACTGACTGTGCATTAAAGTAATCTCCAAATGTTTTGTACACCAAATGAGCAGGTGGATAAATGGATCTTCTCTTGTAACAGTTGATGAACAATTTATAATTCTCCTTTGGATGGGGATTTGTTAGCAAAGCCGATAATTTTGTAAGGAGAAAAATTTCAGCTCTGACCCAAAACTTTAATAAGCTATAAAGGTTGACAACCTTACATGGCAAAAAGTGGTTTTGGCTTAGCAGAACTTTTTAAAGGTTAATGAATATATAACGGGACCTGTGATCACAGCTCCTACTACTACATGACACTGAGGTAGGAGACGGGACTCAACTCCAGATGCAGGGCTCAGACAAGCAACCAGACTGAGCACTAGCTAAAACAGAGGGGAGGGCAGAAGCAGCTTTCCAATCAGACATGCCCACCAGTCTACCATGTCAATTTATCATTGCCATGGCAACACCTGAGAGTTACCACCTCTTTCCATGGCAATGACCCGATGACCCAAAAGTTACATAAGTAGAGGGACTGGGTGCTTTTGTCATAGGGAAGGAGTACTTCCCTAGAAATTTCTGCAGAAACCACCTCTTAATCTGCATGCAATTAAAAGTGGGTATAAATATGACTCCAAAACTGTCCTGAGCTGCCACTTTTTGCCTATGGGGTAGCCCTGCTCTGTAGGAGCAGTCAGGGAGCTGTAACACTGCCTCTTCCATAAAGCTGTTTTCTTCTACCTCTGGCTTGCCCTTGAATCATATATATATATATATATATATATATATATATATATATATATATATTTCCTGAGTTACTTCACTTAGAATTATGGTCTCCAACTCCATCCAGGTTGCTGCAAAAGCCATTATTTCATTCCTTTTTATGGCTAAGTAGTACTCCACGGTGTGTGTGTATACACAAAGGGGGGAAGGCAGAAGCAGCTTTCCAATCAGACATGCCCACCAGTCTGCCATGTCAATTTATCATTGCCATGGCAACACCCGAGAGTCACCGCCTCTTTCCAAGGCAATGACCCAATGACCCATGTATACACCATGTATACCCAATGACCCATGTATACACGCACACACCATGGAATACTACTTAGCCATAAAAGAATGAAATAATGGCATTTGCAGCAACCTGGATGGAGTTGGAGACCGTAATTCTAAGTGAAGTAACTCAGGAATGGAAAACCAAACACTCTATGTTCTCACTTACAAGTGGGAGCTAAACTTTGAGGAATGCAAAGGCATAAGAATGATATAATGGACTTTGGGGGTTTGGGGAGAAAGTGGGAGAAGGGGATGAGGGATAAAATATTACACATTGGGTACAGTGTACACTCGGTGTACGCTCGGGTGATGGGTGCACCCAAATCTCAGAAATCACACCTATAGAACTTAGTCATGTAATCGAACACCACCTGTTCCCCAATAGCTATTGAAATAAAGAAATAAATAAATAAAATAGGTCAATTAAAAATCAACTAGGAAATAAAAGCAGAGAAGGATGAAGAGAGTAGAGAGTGAGAGAGAGTAGAGAGTGAGAGAAAGCACTGTGGAAACTTACAAATGCAGACTCTATTTCCCTTCATTTTCAGACTTTAAAAAAATCTTCCGCTGAATTCTAGCAAAATGAATCTATTTTTATTGTTCTCTTCCTGAGTCAAGGAGAGAGCAGTTATATGCAGGAGTTTTGATGCCTAGCTATTGTCAGTTACCCCAGGATACCATACAATGCATGCGTCAAATTCCTCTTTGTTCGGAGCACCCTTGTAGCCATCTTCCTTTTTCAACAATATCCTTCGTCATGTGCTTTGAATTGATTCGTTCTTCATTCAGATACTGTTTGTCTCCCTTCTTTCCAAAATTCATCATAACTGCTGGCCCATGGAGCACATTATTTCTTATGATCTAGTGGGGTTATGGATTTATTTATCGAAATACTGTTTACATCATTTTTAAGGTTTGAGGCAAGAAGAGGAAGCTGCAGCAGGTACTCATCCTGCCATTTTGAAATCAAAGTTTTTTCTTGTTTTCTCAGTGAGATGAAAAACAAATACCGAATTAAATAGTTGTAGGGATTTTGTTTGTAAAACCTACTGTTCATACGTGAATATAAGACCAATGTCCTTTTTTTCCCCTCCACCCACACAATCACCATCTGTGATTGGCCATGAAAGAGCCTGTGGTAGGCTGGATGATGTAAAAAGGGCAGGACTTCATAGTATTTAACTGTGCAGCTAGAATTACTTTATCTAGTAGTGACAGACCCTTCAGCACTTAATGTGATTTTTCTCTTCTAGTCTAATAGTATAAATTGCAACAGACCACGGGGTCTGGGATCCTTTGTCTTTAAAGACTTGCTATTATTCCTCATTCGCTGTCAAGACCACTGAACTTTAAAATTAAGGCAGCAATAAAAGCCTTACAACAACTCAGCAATATAGATTTTATCTCCATACAGCACGTAAGGAAACAGTCTCAGTGAAGTTAAATTGGTCAAACTCAGAAAGCTAATTATAAAGTCAAATACTGAACTTGCAGGCCCAAATTCTGCCTCTCTAAAGTCAAATGCTATTTATTCAATGCTGCACTTAATACAGCATACTTTAAGATAGCTCCAGCCCAATGTGATGACTCTTCTATAACTTCTACTGTATTCACTCTATAATTCCAACCAAAAAATATCTTCATCTTGAGAGGTTGGACCGTATGAAATTACTGTTTTAATAATCCAAAAGTGGTCATATATTGGCAATTTCCTATGGTTCAACTTAATATACTGTTTGTAATTGTGTAACAGGGTGGATAATTTTTATTCTTTAGAAGGAAAAGAATTAAAAATGTATATTAGTATATGAATTCCTCATAGTGGTGCCTTGAGCTTTTTTGGGCATCTACCTTGATAAGCCAGCTTGAGGTAGGCAGATCCTTTCCAGGAATAGATTGCAACCAAGGTTTCTACTGGAGAAATCAGTTTGCCCCTGATGTAGAGGTGGAATGAGGCAACAAGAAGCTTACTAAAGAATGTGAACTCTGGAAATTAGTGGAAATCATTTGGATACTGCTTACTCAGATCAAGAAACTGGATGTTTGAGGTAACCCTATCACGATCTCAAGGATCAAAAAGATCCAGCTAGCATCCCAGATACTACTCTTAAATGTAATTCTTGAGAGCAGTCCACACTATAAGTCAGGAACCAATGCTGTGTTTACTCACATGGCAGTGATAGGCATTCATTAAATATTCATTGACCTAAGGAACAATCATCCCAATTAGACTGTCGCTACTTTACTGGAAATTACATAAGATGATCTGAATTTCCTATAGTGCCTTAAGCATGTGTTTGAAGCTTGAAAGGCATTCATTTAAAAGCTCAGATTCTGGTTGTCAGTCTATCAGCTTCAAGGCTGGTAAAAATATTCTGCCAAGATAGATACATTAACCTTTGTCCCAGGGAAGATAAGATCATAAACTAATAACCTGGTCACACAAGTGAATGGTGCCACTCATTTTGATTGATAAAGGTATTAGGCAATAGCAAGATTCAGGCACTTATTTGTCCATCTTCTCTGTCATTTAAAGTTGAGGCTAATACTAAGTGTAGAAGGCCTTATTCCACAATCTTATTAGTGACATCCAAGAAGTATGTGTTCTCTGAGCACATTTGTGTGTGTCTTTTCCTATTGATCTCTTAGTCACATGTATATATTACGCCTTTCTGAATAACGTATAAGTCCCTTAAAGAGGCCAAGTTTTTCATTTATTTGGTATTTCCTCTCCAAAATATTTCCTTCTGATGACTGTTTTAAAAATAAGTAGATAATAATTAAGTTTAATTTTAATCTATATAAATTAAAAGACTAAGAGGATTTTATAACAGAAACATTTTTAAATATTTTAAATATCATTTGAAAGCTTTAATTCCATTATAATACAGAATGGTGCAAGTTGAGGAATATCTAAATATTTAATCCCTCATTATGAGCACATTTTAAAACATGCCTTTGGTTTATGTTTAAGATAATGAATCATCTGTATTACTATTATTACTACCATCACATAGGAGCATTAGGACACGTCATGACTATTACAAATGGACTCAATTTAGGAAAGACATTTTGAAGAAGACAAAGACACTGTGAGATTAAATAATTTATTACCATTGCTAAGATGAACACATATACTTAATACTCAATTTTATGCAGAACTTTAAAAAAATAGTTTTAATACAGTATCAAAATTTACACAAGTTTATTTTGTCAAAAGACCAGTGTCCCTTGTATTAGCTTCTGCAGGCTCTGCTGCAGGCACAAAAGCTTATTTTAAATGTCTTCAGAGGGTAGGAATACAACAATTTAAGGATGAAAGCTTTCCTAGGAAAGAAGGTGTAAATATAGCAAGCAATTTTCTTTTATAGAGTAATAACATTTTAAAATATAACATTTAAAAGGGGAGCTTAAATTGTAACCCAATTATGATAATTAGAGAGATAATTCTATAGTAAATTAATTCATAAATATTTTCTGAAAATAGATGATTTTTCATCACAGTAACATTTTTGAAAGTATAACAAAATTCCTTCACAGTCTCCTACTAGTGACAATTAACTCGTTATGTAATGAGCCCATCTAAAACAACAACAACAGAGAATATCTGCCATGAATCAAATCTCAGAAATTTAGAACCTATCCAAAAACTGGGAATTGTTGCATTTCTACTTTTATAATCTTAAACTACCATAAAAACGTAGCATTCGGTCACAGGCCTCTTGCACATTCATACAAGAAACTATCATTGCATTTGGATTAACACAAAATACCTATCATAGCATTTCCAGTACACACATTCTAATGTTATATATATGTATATGTATACCAAAAATAAGAAATAAACTAAGCAAAGCTAGCACACCTCTTTTTCAAACCTCAAGCAATCTGAACAAGAGCTTTTAGCCTCAATAATGAAGGACATGCGTCAGTTTCATAAAATGTTAGATAGCTGCAGTAGGCAAAGAAAGCTTTTTTCATAAATGCAGTGCAATATTTTAAAGTTTACATAAAGTTTATTAAATATACAGCATGTCTAGAAACTAAATTGTAGAAATTGACATCTCACAGCTCGAAACACTTAGAAAAATTATGTTTGTTGTTTTTAGTTGAAATTGTTAATATTAACACCAATGGATACACTGAATGAATATGAAGGTTGGTATGCCCCAAGATGTGTCTTTATGAGAAACTCATTAAGATGAAAAAAAAAGATATATTTATATTGATCAATTGAAGTAAATGGTACTCTCTGATAAGCACTCTACAACGTCTTGCTACCCTTCTAGCTGGTAGGGAGAATTTACATGGTATTTTTTAGCACCTCAGAAGTCAAAACAAAACTCCAGAAACTTAATCTTATCTTGCATCCAAATTAATTATGCATTAGGAATTACTAGTTTGTTTGTTGACTGAAGTGTAAGAGGTAAATGCCCAACTCTCAAACTTGGGAAGCTGGAAAATACCTCTTCATATCTTCAATATGATATGGTAGAAAACTCCTACCATTATGTGTAATGAGTCATCTCTATTCAAAACACTGAGGCTCCACTGGACTCTTAAAACTATTCAGGTTTCCCAATTACAATATTATATCTGGGGAGTTAAAAACACTTATTTCTAATGAAAACACTGGTACCAAAATGTTGATTTTCAAAGCTACTCTGTTTGAGATGTTCAAAGCTACCTTGTTTGAGATTGACTGTTGTGGACATTGAGGTGAGAGACACAGAATATCAGCTTGAGGGGAGAAGTTGTACTACAGGTTTTAGAGGGGAGATATGTGCAATGTACAATCACTCCATGTTATTCCATGAGTCCAGGTTTGTGGAAACCCACTCTTTCCTTTTTCTTCTTGTCTTCTATCACTTTCTGGCAGTGGTGATCTCCTGTTTGAAAAAGAGTGCATCTCACATTGGTCCTTTGTACTGGTTTCCTGACAAATGTTGCCTAATTCCAGGACACGAACCTGCAGCATCTCCAAGTTTCCTCCACACAACCTTAAAAAAAAAAAGAAGGAGTGAGTATCTTACTTTTCCTCTTTCACAAGGAGATTTGCATTTCTTAAGGGTAAATTAAGAGAGGAGCGAAGATGAAGTAAAGACAAGAGACAAAATATCCACATGAATGAGTTCAAATACAAAATAAAATGTGATGACAAGCTTCCTAAAACACAAGAACTACTTAGTAGTAGGGACTACTAAACCTTGTTAGTAACCAGGGTCAAAATTTTAAAATGATGTATTAACTTACTGTAGTTACGTAAGTGGTCCCCAACTCTGACTGCACACTAAGCACTTGAGGAACTCTTAAACAGTAATCCCCATCCTTGAAGATTCTGATTTCACTGGGAGAAGTGAGGCATGGACAACTGCATTTTTAAAAAAAGCTCTAAAAGTAATTCTAATGTGTAGCCAGAATTAAGAACACCTTGGCAAGATCATCCTGGTTCCTATATTATACATCCATAACAAAGGATATCAGTGTTTAATGTGCTGAGGAAAATGAAGGAGCTTTTGTTATTGAGCTATTTAAGTCCTGAGGTGGTAGTCTTAGGGCCACTAGTAAATTTCTCTGGCTTTTTCTACAGAGTGGGGTCATCAGTTGTCACAAATCTTAGCTACCAAGCAATATGATGTCTTGGATTTCCAAAACACAAAGCATCCAAATGTAGGCAGATGATAAGAATAAATTCAAGAATCACTGAAAGAGATACAATTACAATATGTTAGAAGCTGGGCCACATAGAGGGACAAAAGGTGCAATCAAGAATAATGTAAGCATAAACGTAAAACTACCGAATTCACCAATAATACATCAATACACTAACATTGATTGGAATACACACACATGCACATGCATGTATGTGCACATGCACAATAACAGCCATACCCTCCCAGACTATTTCACGCTAAGGATTATGATCAGATTGATTGATTGTGCAAAACTTTACAACACTCTGACGTGAACACAAAACTAGTTTGTTCATTAATTATTCATAAACTGTTTCTTTTGTTTGGTTTGGTTTTGCTTTTAAATAGAAGTGGATACTACAGGGAAACCCAATATCCTTCATAGTAATACACAATATAGGGCTCTGTTTACCTTCATTTCTAAGCCAAAGAAACTGTTAATCTCAATGCCTCAGCATATACCAATACATGGCATAAATATCCCATTGTACTCAAAAGGAGTTGAAGTTAGGGTTCTTAAATATCTGGAAAGGAATTATTAATATATAGCAATGGATGGCTCAAGCTATACACAAGAGACTTAGGAAAGTCTCATTTCTTAATAAATTGACAAGACACAAACACTGAATCAAGGAGCCAAAGGATGCTATGGACTTTCCTTTTCTAGCCCTTAAATACAATTACATCTATCCAGAATGCTTTGAATGTGTGGTTTAGAAGCAGAGGGTAGACTTAAGGACCTTACACGGATAACAGACACCAGCACTAGCTGGTTACAACTCAAAAGTGCAACTCCTCTTCAAATATTGAAATGTGGAACACAATGAGCTTAACCCAGATGTAACTATGTGGTGAAAGGAAACTCTTAAAGAAGGCAGAACTTTGCAATAAACCAACAATACAAAGGTTGACACAGGAGTAGTGACTTATTAACTAAAAAGGCATAACAGGTGTGTGTTTGAGACTGTGACTGAGATGACCAATCAGGTATTTCAACTGTCCTCAGGGAATTTACAAGAGCCAAACAGACAAACCTAAAATAAAACAACTACTACAAAAAGGCAGATTTACTATTTCTTAGGGGGCAGTACATTTATTTCTGTAGCACTGTTTGGGAAGAGAATAGCTAACTACATACTAACCCACATGATGGTAATATGAATAATAACCTTTTCGCTGTGTAGATGTCAACAACATCTAATCTCTAGGAGCAATACTAGAAATGACAGCAAAACTTCTGTGGTCCCAAGTTCTATCTGAGTCTTATAACCCATCTCATATTATGGGAAAACTTTATTTTTCTGTGACATTATTATAAAGGCATATAATTTCTCTACTAGAAGCCAAGCCTTCATAATCTTTGCTAGTTTCACAACTTATCTATGAAATTGCTTTACAATCTGCATTTTTCCCTATTCTGTGGCATTGACTATGTGTTTTTGATCATATAATTAATAATGGTGACAATAACATTTTTAAATTGTTTCCAAATATATAAAATTGCTTAAGAATCAGATTTGGGTTTGTTTGCATTTTTTCCTCAAATTCTGGGGATCAAAGACAAAAGGAGACAGAAAACATACTCCTAGAGAACTTTTAAAGGTAAACAAGGGGGGCAAGCTTTTGGCTTTCTGAAAGTATCTTATACACTAAAAAATAAAAATAATACTGTATGGTGCCTTTCAATTTATTTTTGAAAGTGCAGGCAAACAAAAAGATCAACATAAAACTAATCAAAATCCAATCCAGTAATGGGTCTCTATTGAGACTAAGATATGAATTTTCTAATGTCCAGAAATTGAAAGGAAGGAAAGCAAAGGAAAAGGGAAAGAAACAATCCTGGAATTTTTTACAGAAATTCTGGCATTAAGAACCATGGAGATGGCCCCCTCTGTAAGATAGGGTGCTTTTCACTTTTTGTTCCTCAGGAAAGGTCCTCAAAGGAAATCTTGGTGTACTCCTGACTTCACTATTCATTAGAAAATAGTTCGAGCAAGTAACTTAATTTCTGGGTCTTAATTTCTTCAAATATAGAATTAGAGTGTTCGGGTTCTTACCCAGGGGTTCATATCTGAATTGCCTGAGGTCTGATGGTAAACTCAGAGATCCGAATTATGAAGGAGGTCCACATACTATTCTTTGGACAAACACTGGAGAATGACCTCTATGGCTCCTTCTAGTCCAACAGTTCCTATTGTCTGAACTTTCTCTCTCATTCCATAGTCAATAGATGAGAAGCAACAGGCATTCCTAGGTATGTGGCTCACTTTTTAAAATTTATCTGAGGGAAATATTCAAATTGAAAATCTTAAGCACAGGTTGAAAAGCTACAGAAAGTGAATGGTGGTGCATTTAGGAAAGATGACATCTAGAACTAGATGTCCTTTTGAAAACAGACAACAGATATGCAGGAAAGAAAAACAAATAACTTAGGAAGGGTGGGAAGAGAAAAATCAGCCACAACACAGGCAAGCAAGAGACTACAAGTCTCATTCCAGCACATAAAAAATGCCCAGGGGACTTATGTAACATTTACTGGATTCCAGAAACACCTCGAGGAGGTTGATGCGTAAGTGTCTGAGAATATCTGGTCCTAATAGATCTAAAGCTAAAGGGTATTTCTAAGCAATTTTCACATCCTGATAGGATAGAGAAAAGAATATGAGGATAAAGCATAATGTAAAGCCAATTAAAATCAGTGTTTAACATGACCAGTGCTTAACCATGATTTCTTGCATTTAACAATGGCTTCCTCTATAATATTCCATTTAGCTATTTAAAGCCTCACAATTTATATTATTGACTAAATGATACATCCCATGTATATTACTCAAAATATTAAAATTTAGTCAGGGATTAATAGTAAAAATCCAAGCCATATTAATGATTGCGTTGAATATGCACGTGAAAATAACATATCTTTATTTATTTATTTATTTATTTTTTTACTGTGGTCTCTGACTTCATGAATAGATTTCTATTTGTCTATCCTGTTGTTGTTGTTTTTTTTTTTGAGACAGGGTCTCATTCTGTTGCCCAGGCTGGAGTGGAGTGGTATGATCATAGCTCACTGCAGCCTCAAACTCCTGGGCTAAAGCAATTTTCCCTCTTCAGCCTCCCAAAGTGCTGGGACTATAGGTGTGTGCTACTGTGCCTGGCCTAACTATCTTTTAGGTTCTTATCTGTCTTTCTTACCTTACTATATTCTGAGTTTGGGTCAACAACTGAAAGCTAAAGATAATACTTCGCATGACATGAAGCACACATATATGACATATGAAGAACTAAGCAAAATTACCTAGTAAGGTGGCGATTTTTTCCAAGAATAGTTACAAGTAAATCTAAAGGTGGCTGTATTTTCTTTATCATAGGTTTTTAAACACTGATCTTTAACAAACTTCTTAGAAGTATAAAATAGAAACCCATTTATTTTATCGAAATTAGAAACATATTTTAGACAGTAAATTCAGTATTAGCAAATGTTTGTAGAGTCTTCTGGAATACAGAATTGGCTGATCATCTCTAAATTGAATATTCTGTAACATGATTGTATTAATAAAACTACAATAAAATATACTGAAAATAAAAACAAGGGAAATTGGTTTTATTTTCATATAAAAACATAAAGGCATTTGGTCAGCATTTTAAAAATATTCATAAAACAATAGCTAAGCTACGATGTGGCTTTCAACACAGAATACACAATAAAGCACATTAAACTTACATTGCACATTTCTCTGACTATAGCTTTTTCTGTCTCACTAAGGTCATGTTCATACTCTTTACCCTGTTGACGATCTATAGTTTCCTGAACATCCAAGACCTGGATTTGTTGAAAAAGAAAAGCAAATTTCACATGGAAAAAAGCTTGTTAGTTATGATAAAACCATCAAGGAGCTCCACTTTGTAAAACCTTTAGTTTTCTCCATGTCTGCATATCAGAGTGGATTAGCATATGGAAACATATTTTTTAAATAGCTGATTGTTCTGAAATCTATTTGGAATGATTCTATTTGATTTTCAAATGGCCATTAAAAGCAATCCATTGCATCACTAATAATCAATGGAATTCATTAGTGTCTAAAATAAGTATATGCATTTACTTTGGTCATTAAGATAATCTCACTGTATCAACAATTTGGATATAGTCAATAACTCTTGCTCCACTGTAATGATGACCAATATAATTAACTATGTGCCAAATGGTCCAAATGATATGTAGACATGGCCTGCATAAAAGATGACTAAAAAAGATGATAGTGACAGGTGAAACTGGTCAAAACCCAGGAATATGCACGTAAGAACTACTGACCTCGCAGTTCTTGCCTGGACATGTTCCCAGTGCCTAAGAAAAGGCATGTGGAGGTGGCTCTTTGATAGTATCAAAGAGAAGCACTGGCTCCTTATAGTGAAAATATTTGAACAACACTTTAAATATTTTTCATGAAAGCAAAATGTCTTGGAATAAAATGCCTTTTAAACAATTTTAGAGGCCTATGTTTCCACTTCTCTAAATTAGCCCTAAACACGTTGAAAATAATATTCCTTTAAAAATGTCTAAAGTTTTATTGTGGGTACCTTTTTATACTACAAAAGGAGAAAATAACTTTGGCTTTCTGTGCTGTTTGTTGTTTTTATCTATATCAGTTTATAAATCAAAGTGTTGAAGTAATACAAAAAACTAATGCTCTCCCTAGAAGTTCCTATAGAATCCACACCAACTGCAACACTGCTAAGCTACTTGATTCTACTGTCATCACGGACAATGCTGATGTTCACATCTGCTACCTGTGAATTTACACCAATTGAGCCAAACTAAATGACTTAAGCATGAAGTGGGACCTTCAGGTCAAGTTCATGGACACTATCTGAATCTAACTAGAGTTCGATCCTGTAATAAATAATCTGATCACAAACTACACTCATTAATTTGAAACGTCTAGCCATTATTATTATAAAAATGCCACTTCTGAGCCCTGATACTCACCTCAGATTACAGTTAATTTACCTTCTTTACATATTTAGAGAAAATCACTGACTGTGCTTGGTGAATATTCATAGAAAACATAAAGAGCTCCTTCCTTGAGCAAGCTCATTTACCTACAAATTTGATTTGTAATGCACCTCAGAGAAGTGTACTTCAAATCAGTTAATTTTTACTAAATGAAGTAAAGCTCCAATTAATAGTTATCATAAATTTTAAAACAAGAAGAATATAGTGTCATCACAAATGTACTAATTTCTTACAGTGCTTTACATTTCCCACAAACCATGACCACAGATTTTATAAAGCCTAGCGTTTTCTATAAAATCTATCAGAAAGTGAGAAACTGAGCCACTGTACTAATTATTCTTTTCACAATAGACATATCTCATGATATAAATCAGCTCTAGACAGCTGGCTCTCAAAAACAAAACATGTCAAGTGGCCATAATTTCTTTTTCTTATAATGAAATCTTTTTAAGATGTATTTCCCAAAACTGATGTTTGTACATATTTCTGTGTCCTAACACAGTTAACTCATGGAAGTAAAAACATTTGATATTCAAGGGTCCCCAGTTTTCTAATAAAGATGTTTCACTTGCTCAGTATCACTCATCTGCCAACCAAGGACACTTATGTGTACTGAATATAACATAAAATCTCCCTCTCTTGAAACATATATATCTTTTTTTTTTTTTTTTGAGACGGAGTTTCACACTGTCACCCAGGCTGGAGTGCAATGGCACGATCTCGGCTCACTGCAACCTCTGCCTCCCGGATTCAAGCAATTCTCCTGCCTCAGCCTCCCAAGTAGCTGGGATTACAGGTGCCTGCCACCACACCCTGCTGAATTTTTGTATTTTTAGTAGAGACAGGGTTTCACTATGTTGGCCAGGCTGGTCTCAAACTCCTGACCTCATGATCCGCCTACCTTGGCCTCCCAGAGATAAAATTTTGTATGAAAATTAGAACTAAATTCAGAGAAAATTGAGGAGCTCTTCCTTGCCCTCCCCTTCCTTTTAGGCCACACTAACAGCTGCTTTGAGAAATCTGGAAAATATTTCAGTGTGACTCACTATGCTGATCTGATTCAAATAGCAATTGCCATTTAATAAGGCAACAGGCTGAAATGGCTTTCAAACAGTTTGAATAGGAGGACAAGTTGCTGCTGTTGGAGTGTGTGCAGATGCTATAATACTACAAGATTGAAGCCAATCTCTGGTCCATTTTCTACTTTTAAAATGCTTTTCAGATAGCTAGTGCCTGATTCATGCTAAAGTTCATCCAAGTGCTGCCACAGAGAACAAGATATTCAACAGTCCATAAACCAACACCCACTAGAGGCAAAGCAGTGCCCCCTCACACTGGCTGTGCCTTCCCAGGAATTCCTCTCAGTTGCTCACTTTGTGAATTATTCCAACAAAGACAGAAAATGCCAAGTGCACTGTCAGTGGCCACTAGCATGGTTGCCCTGCCTTCCCTCATCAATAATCAGTATATGTTTAGGAAAAGCAAATTCATTTTGTATAAGCTAAAGCAAAATATCCTGAGGGAGCAAAATCTTCTGCTAAAACTTCATCATCTCAAAGTGAAATAAACATTTTGAAGTTCTCATCTATGTATTTGTTTTGTGCATGCCACAGAAAGTGTGGCCCACTCCAAAAGAGGAGTGCATCTCCAGGCTGATGATAAATCATTTTGAAATTGAAACAATTTTAAGAAGAGTTGTGAAACTCACATGGTAAAAGCAGATCGGAAGCACTCTACCTGTTTTATGGGTCAGAAAGGTTTGATCAAAGCTACATGTTAGAAATTATAGATAGATTTGTTAGACAGTGCTTCATACATTGAAACTGATAAAATTTCAAGAAACCATCTCAATTTGTAAGATGATTTTTATCACCTGTGTTAGTTTCTTCTTTGAGATAAGTAAATATTTATATTGTTTATTTATTATTAATTGTACCTATAGTCCTGATTTTTCATTAGTTTTACTTATTGGAAAGCTCATTATTGGTAAAGAAAATAGATGACAAATTTTAGGCAATTTTTTGTGAAATCACTGCAAAATGTGAAGGAAGACACAAAAGTAAAGTAGCTTTATGTATAACACCATATATCTGTTTTCTATTATTCTATAACGGGGCATTAACTGGAGTTTGAGAACCCAATTTCTACTTAGAAGAGGAAAGAGTAGGTTTTTATTTATTTCAATATTTTATTTAAGTTGCATAATGTACTTCAATTGCATCAAGAAAGAATACTGTGGTATCCTTCCATATTATGACCAACTATTAACTTCCTATATTTGAAGACATCCACGCTACAAACATTGCACATAAAATACCTATCACAATTTTTTACAAATATGGATATACATGCACAGACTGTAACTTCGATGCCGATAGATATGAATCACATTCTCAAAACAAAACGATAAAACTAGAGATTCAACCATAAGTACTCAAACTCATTGTCAGTTTAGAACAATAAAAATCATACTTCAAAAATTAAGATTTAAAAAGTTACACCATAAGGAGTCAAAAAATAAAATATCTATGGTTCAAGCAAGACTGTGAGGACTACTAGACTACAGCGAACAAGCGACGACACAACTGAAGCTCTGGATAAATGGTTGCACACGATTGGTTACCTTAAGAGAATGTACCACAGGTTCAGGCTGCTGGGAAGGTGTGGCATGTCCACTGAAGCTAGCTGCAGAGTTGGGTGAACTGTTACTCCCATCAGCCCCTGATGACAACCTAAAAGAACCCTTAGTAGAAAATCAACAACTTTGTTATTAAAACAAAAGTCGTTTATAACTACAAAGATGTCATTCAATATTCAATTTCACTACCAAATGAGAATTAGCCATTTTGTTACTTTTTCCTAACCTAGTCTACAATGCTATCAATCTGTTCATTGGAACACACTTGCTGCTTGACCAGCAAGAAAACATAAAGAAGAGCCACTTCAATACATTGTCAGATGCCATCTCTGAAATGCCCCACCCCCAAGGAATGGCCCTTAAACACATTTCAAGAATGATTTTTGAAACTCAAAGATACTTAAGAGTAGGAAATTCATGAGTTACTCCATAGCTGAGTTAAACATGCTCACTCAGCAAGCCAAATGCCATATTCCATATGTCTCAGAATATGCAGACACATCACATTCTTGTGTTGGAGAAACTGTGTCTCTTATAAAACCCTTCTTTGAGGGAAAGACCTATAATAAAGCATTTTCAAAAAAGATTTATCCAAATTCAACGTTTTCTTTAAAAACTGAAAATTGATCTTTTCTGCTCTTTTTAAAGATGAAAAACAGAATAGATATAAACTACATATTTTTAGTTTAGTGGTTCTTCAACTTAATTGGTGAGAAACTAGAACCTGTACATGATTAATTTGACATGTGCAGGCCACATTCTTCTGTACAAGCACTGGAAATTTCCCCTAAGGATCTGTACTTTTTCTAAAGGGTGCTTGGGGGAAGACTAATGGATCAGTAAAGAAAAAGAGAGTATCAGTTATCTACTCTCCTAGAAAAAGCAGTCACATGGGAATTTTCCAAATCTATTTTTATGTAGATCATTACACTATTAGAGAACCTGAAATTTTAATTTCTGCCTATCAACCTATTTACAGAATTTTTCATGTCTAATTGATTAGTAATTGCTCCATTCAAGTTGATTCTATCAATCTAACACCCCGAAGAGGAGTCACTGAAGGTGTATCATGAGAATTCATAAAGAGAGAAACAACGGTAGTTTGGAATATTAACTTGCAGACTCTCTCCATCGCCCAGGCTGGAGTGCAGTGGCACGATCATTGTTCACTGCAGCCTTCAACTCCGGGGCTTAAGCAATCCTCCCACCTCAGCCTCCTGAGTATCTGGGACTACAGGCATGTGCCATTATGCCTAGTGACATTTTATCTTTTTCACAGAGACAGAGTCTTGCTATGTTGCCCAGGTTGGTCTTGAACTCCTGGCCTCAAGTGATCCTCCTGCCTCAGCCTCCCAAAGTGCTAGGATTACAGGCATGAGCAATCCTGCTCAGCCAAGAGAATTTTTATGCTGTACATTTTAGAGATAAGAAGAGAAAACTGCACCCAGCAATTATAGGTATGGATTACATGTAAACCATGCTTTATAAGGAAAGTTTATTATTATTAACTTAATGTTATTATTGCAGATTATTATTTTTGCAATTTGGAAGATTTTCTCCCTTTCTTTCTTGCTGTCATTTCTCCTATGTCCTCAAAGGCTCCCCCTGCCACCTCACTAGCCTACTGAGGCCACATTCTTTTCCCTGCTCAAAGAGTTCTATAATCCAGTCAGGTCCTGCACCCAGCCTCACTGGCCAACAAGGAGAGGAAGCAGTAGAATATGGCATGTACGTGGCTTCCTCAGTTTCTGTCCTCCATTGCTACTAAAACTAAAATGTACAGCAGGTGATGAAACAGGATTGTCAATTAGAACAGACCCAATCCCCTGTGGGAAAGGAAATTAAAACATTTGTTTTCCTGTATTTATAAACCAGATCAAATCAGAAACAATAATGCCTAATACATCTAATGGAAGGGAAATTATCTGAAGTTAAAAGATGGTTAAGGGACACACCCTTCACCCACCCTCATATTTTGGACATCTTCTTCCTCTATACTTTGGATCCTTTGGAATCAAATGGTTCCAAAATTAAGGAGTTATAAAAGGAAGCTCCTCTTTCCTGAGTAACCCTGGTCCTCTACTCTTCTCTTTTCCTCCTGGTACCACTCTTATGAATGCTTTTCAAAAGATTTCTCAGGTTATACAGAATTCGCTTCAAACTCTTGTTTAGGACCCACCATTGCAGTGCCATATTTCCTCTGACTTAGAAGTCATATTTCCTCTAATTTAGAAGGCAATAAACCTTCCCACTCTGAGCTACTTCCTTCCTGTTTTTACTTTCAAATCCTTTTCTGCCCAGCCTTTCTGCTTCAAATGTTCTCTTTCCAGACCTGGTAAAAAGATAAGCGTATCAATAATACCATCCTTTTGCTTGGGCATGGGCCTCTATCGTTCAGGGCATTTTGGTTTCAGAGAACTTCTAAAAATCAATGTAAACAACATCCTTAAACCAAATCATCTGAGCCATTTTCCATTGTTTAAATGTAAACAAAGTCCTGTTCTGGCCATATCTATTAAAAAACACACTTTTTTTTTTTTTATGAAAGTAGTTTTCTTTAAAAAATGGGATGGGGGCTACAATAGTATTTTGCCTGGAGTATACAGTGGGGGGAAATTCATCATTTAGGGATGAATGTTATACTTCAAACTAGCTTTGGGAGCCATGGACTACAAATCAACCAGAAAGATCAAGGCTTATATTTTATTTTGTTTTTGTGAAGCCACAAAGGTAACCAAGTGCCTGGTGAAGTTTACTTCCAACAGATGTTAAATAATTTTTCTAGACTGCAATAACAGAATGAAGCACCTCATTCTACTATATCTCATTTAGTACTATAAAATAAAAGGTTAGTTTTCTATGCGCTTAGCAGAATCAGACCAATATTTGGAGAATTATGAGGGTTCAATTTACATATACTCTCAGTCGACTAATACATTTTCACTGAACTATTTAAAAAAATATGCTACTGAGCCAAACAGGGAATTTAAAAAGAGAAAAATCTTACTAAAACTGGAAATGTGATTTCCAGATTAAGTGGCTTGTTTTCAAGCTACACATGATCACACAGTGCATGCATCACCTCTCAGTCAGTAGACAATTTTAAAGGGCAAAGGAGTACTTTTCTGAGCTTGTCTAGAGACATGATTTTCAAGACCACTGACCTAAACTCCTTTTATCATGAAATGTCCAGGGTACTTTTGTTCTTCTCTCCTGCATGCGGTTGCTCAACTTTCACCCCCAGATGTGGGGGAAAAAAACAAGAAAACTGTTTAGGAGGTGAAAAATTCTACTCCCATCCTCCCTCCCCAGACTTAGACATACAACTTTCTTTCATGTGTATGAACTTGTTTTCTACCCCCCAGTATAACTTTTTCTCTAGCAACAGAAGTCATCTGGTTATGCACAAGCAAATGCATCCAGCTGACTCATCTTCACTCACCGGGAGAGTAGGCAGGCATCGTCCTATTCCTCGGCACCCTTGCCACCACTGCAAGACCCGCCGGGCTCTGGACCCCCAGCCTTTCTCCATATTTGAGCTGTTTCTAGTTGGAGGTTGCCTTCTATTCTGGCTGGCCTTATATTTGGAACAATATGGTACAATCACTCAGAAAAATACTGTTTCCCAAGTCTCAAGAAAGCAGATAGAACATGAAGCTTAATGAGATGAACCACAATGACCACAATGGCAAGCTGTAACATGCACCTGTAGCTAGGGAAAAAATAAAAATAAAAACAATCTGAAGTCCTACATATTAGACCTAATCCTGATTTAAGTTTCTGGTAAACATATAACTACATTATAAATTCTATCAAAAAGTAGACGATAAAGTCAAAATTACAGAAAAAACTTGAAGGTATTTAAACAACTTTATTTTATGGGTTTTACCAGCATAAAATAATAATATGCTTTACCTGGATATTATACAGAAATAAACTACATAACTTCAGAACTTAACAAAAGTTATTTGAAATACAATTGGGAGCACTATGCCCTTTTGTTAAGAAGTGAAATTTGGGTATACATATTCAATAATACTGAGAAAATTAAAACTGCATCAAATTTTTAACAAAATTTCTGCATGTTGAAGAGAATGTAATGAGCTAAAAGGTCATCACTGCATTAAAATAAATATTTTACATAGAAAAATCTACATAATCATCAAACTTTGTATTCATAAGTTAACTAAATTTTTATGTATTTATTAGAACTAGAGGCATCACATAATTGAAAAGAAAAAAGTCCTTAATTTTAGCTTTTTCCATCACCAAACTGTATAATCCTATTAAAATGATCAGAAACAAAATGAACTTATTAGAACATGATTTCCTCTCCTGCCAACTTTCACAGAGACCTATAACTAAGAATATAATGTCCCAAGGAATAAGAAAATAATTTTAATAATTTAATAATTTTAATTATGGAAAATACGCAAAATGGTCCCAAAATTCTAGTGTCTAAATGTTGAGGTTGACTTTAGAAGACTGAAAATAAGAACATAAAATTTTAATTCTCATCAATTCATTTTTTTTGAAGTTAGCGGCCTATATCTGAATAGTACTGGTCCAATTTTCACTCTTCTCTAACTTTTGGAGGTTGAAAAAAGAAAATGCACCATGGTCTTAAGTGAAGTAAGAAAGAGAAGAAATAATGACCAGTAGTTGGTACTCACAAAACTCTTTTCTGAACCTATTAAATTGGCACCAGTGACCTATAAAAATAAGTCACACATACTCTACTTCTCACGTATAACAGAGGCAATTATATATTTGCACTTGGGTCATAATGATAATTTCATCATAGCAACATTAATTTGAACATTGCTCTTTTGATAATTAGTCCATGTGTAGTGTCTAATTTGTTTCCATCATCAAAAGAATTATCTCCAAAAATTTATAACATGATTCACAGCTTAATACTCACCTCCCACCCCAATCTGCATAATTCTATTTCTGAGATGATCATTAATGAGTAATGCAAATTTTATAATTATTTTTACAAATAAGGAGATCTAGTATCTGAATTTGATTATTTCCATAACATGCACCTCTCAGATCTTATCCTTTTTGGATTTAACAACTGAGTAAAACATATAGGCATTCTACTTTCATTCTTTCTTAATGTGTAGCAAGGCTAAATCCCAATTCCTCTCCATTGTAACAAAGCTTATCATCATACCCATGAAATCTAAGGTAGGATCTATGCCAACTTAGAAGCCAGCTGGCATGAGCGCCATTTAGCTACTATGTAGAGAACTCACAATAATTTCCAACTTTCAGAAAGTAGATACTACATAAAACAATAGCTATACTTTAAGTATTATAAAATGTTCCTTTAAAATATATTAAATATGTATTTTATAGTATTATTAATCTCATAAGGGGGAACAATAAACAGGGGCCAGATCTTTGTGGAAGAATAAACTGATGATATAACCATTTTAAAGGAAAAGGCACTCTTTTAGAACCAGGATTAATTAATTTTCTCCCCATGTCAGCATATATATTTTTTTAATCTAGGTATATAGAAAAGTGTGTTCTGGGCCAGCCATCATCATTAACTTTCAAATAAACTACATCAAAATGGTATTTATACACTAATGAAGGCTTAGTGTTTCGCAGGGCCTACAATCACCAATTACAGTGTTTGCTGAAGACAGTTTCATAAAACGTAAGAAGCCTTCAGTAATTCAGTCGTTAAACTTGTTTCTGGCAACTTGGGGGCTCAAAATGGTGGAACTCAGATTCTGGTCACTAATTGGGAGAACAATTCCAAACAGTCTTAAGATCGTCACTTCCTATTTTCTGAGGAATTCTGTTTCACTTAGTTTTGTTTTCTGTAGTTTTCTAAAATTCCAAGTTTGTGAAAAAGAATCCCTGAATGACCCTAACACTCCCATTGTGTGAGAAGTAAATTATAGATTACTTACTCTGTGGTAAGTACTCACAGAAATCATAAAAGAATATGAAGAAGTATGAATCACTGAGTCTCTTTAAGTTTCGCTATAACTGTACTAGTCAATAGTTTTTATTCCTTGAAAACTCTGGAAACTTCTATAGAGGTAATAGTGTAGGGTTTTTCAGAAAACGAAGTATTTCAAAAATTTGTGAGGAGGAAAGAAGAGTGAAAATCAAGTACTGAAAAGAAGAAAAAGGGGGAAATGGGAAATCCGAACTGTACTTCTCACTCACCAGGCATCTCAGCGAACTTCAGACACACATAAAGGTTCCTCTTGAATGATGAACAGAAAAAGTCCCCAAGAACTATTTGTTGGAAACCTCAGTAATAAAGTATGAAGTGACCTATGTTTTAAGCTAAGAAGAATAAGTCAGCCTGACTTGAAGACTTTTACCTTGCTGACTTTGAAAGGCATAAAGATGGGCAAATGAATTCACATATGGACATTTGCATGGGTTTAGCATGAGTCATAGCCTTTAGTCCTCAGGACTTTCGGGGTCAGATTCTGGTTAGTTCTTCAAACTTCAACAGGGTATAAAATTCTCTGTACTTAAACATGAAATCAACATGAAGTTTTGAACAACTACATCTGCAACATTTTCTCTTCAAACTACGACCATTCTAATAATAAATAGTTCTCATCTATTTATTTAAAGACGTACAACATTCTCTAAGACATTATAGTTTATCTTTCCCTTATTGCTCACAATGAGCTATATATGTAAATGAAGGGAATAAAAACCAATTTTGCAAAAAAATAGACCATTTAACTTTTTTACACTGTCGTGTTTCTTTTCTCAAATTTGCGTGAATTAAGTGTTACTGTTCCTCATAGAAATAATGAAAAACACTAAGAAATGTCCAATATTATATGTTATCTAAAATACATGAATCACAAAACGATGATCACTCAGAATTTGATGTGTGATCTCTGCAGTAGGGAAAATTACCTAAAAAATAAAGCTCCTAGAAAAATCCTTTATAATGTTTTAATTAGTAATGAAGTCAAGGAAATTTTTTAATTTAATGAAAATTCTTCCTAAAAAAAGTTTTGTTTGCACGCCAGAAAAATGGAAAACAAATATACTGAGTTTCTTATTGAATATATACATATACATATATGTACATATGTATGTGTATATATAAAAATATATATGTACTATATAAATATTTCCAATTGACTAAAACTCACATTCAATAGAGTAATACTGTAGTGTTACATAAAATAGTTTCTCACTTTGATATAAATCAGATGTAATGCACTTATAACAAATTTGAGACCCCAGCCCTCTCATTCACTATAGAAGGCCAACTACGGAAGCCTGAAGATTGATCAGCTAAAGTGGTTTCCTGTTACTTAAAGATGCTTAATTTTTTATAATTCCTGAACTTGGTTAAACTATCATATAATATTTAATACCTCATCAGAGTGTATGCCTAGTTTAAGGGGGAGGATAAATTCAGTTTTCCCTTATTACAGGGCAAGGCAGATACTTTGCTTAATCTCATCAGGGAAATAATATTTTGTTCAGTTTGGCCAATCTTCATTCTGACATATTGTAAAACTGTCCTAGCAAATAAATAAAAGCTCTGATTAGAAGAGATTTTAAAGGTCACCTTGGCAAACCCTCTCCAAGAGATTCTTGTGCATAGGCTTAGAAATGCTAAGACCCTCTTGCCTTACTCTAATGTTAATATTTAGTCGGTTATATCCAAAGAAAAGTGCATTTTTCATTTAAATTAACTAAAGAATCTATTCAATGCTGATGTAAAATAATAAGTAATTTCCTGGATGTATAGTCATTCATTTATTCACTTAACAAACATTAATTTAGTAACTATCAGACGTGATATTGCATGCAATGCCATATAGATACCTATTCCAACGAATTTTTGTTGAAAGAGAAACACAGTGAGTTCAAATCACAGACTCCAGGGTCGCAGTGCCGGAGTTTAAATTCTTGATCTGACACTTATGAGCTGCATGACTTTGGACAAGCTATATGGCCTTTCTGTGCCTTAGTTTCCTCATCTATACAGTGTAAATAATAATGGTAAAATGGTACGGTCACTCTATGGGCTTGGAAACTTACATGGAAAGAGCTTTTAAAACAGTGTCTGGCCCACATAAGTGCTCTATAAGCATTTGCTGTCCTTATCATGAATGTTTTTGCTTTGCTTGTCAACATATTTTATAACTTGTCAATTTATGTCCGAATGTTTATTATTGAGAGTGTCAGTTCTCATTGGGGGCGGGGGTGATTTGGCCCCCAAGAGAAAACATTTGGCAAAAATGCCTGCAGACATTTTTACTTGTCAAAACTATGCAGTTTCTACTGGCATTTAGTGGGTAGAGGCCAAGGATGTTGCCAAATATCTTAAAATGCACTGGACAGACCCCTCACAAAGAAAGGATTATCTAGCCCAAAATGTCGCTATAGCTGAAGTTGAGAAACCCTGATTTAGAGAAAGAGAACTATGTTGGGAAACTACAAAGCAAAATTTCTGGTGACAGCTCTATAGCAGATTTTGCATATGAGGACATGTTGCCCACAGGATTTGGAGCTTGAAAGGATTTAGAAGGAAACTCCTTAAGCTTCAGCCCTCAAATGGTCTAAGTATAAAGGCAGCCACATTTCCACCCCCAAATAAGAAATTACTCCAATAAAAGAAACAGAATTGAAAATACCCATATCATCCTACTGTAACAACACTAGCAGAAAGAGAATACGCTGTGGGCAGGCACAGGGCAGTGGTCCAAAGGAAAGAGTTCTTGAGATAGAGACATATAGTATGCTACAGTACCTAGAAAATCGTGACACCAGTCCCACATAGAGAATACAATTGGCAGAAGGGGCTCTGTGGAAATTATGGAAGATCATAAAGCTTACTTAACAATTTGCTGGGCAAAGATTCTGCACTTAACTTGAAGCAGTCACATTAGGAAAGAATAAAATTGCCAGCAAATAGAAGTGGGGGCCCTGACACATGAAACACATCTCAGTGCTAATGAAAGCATTATAAGATAATGGCAAAAGATTAAATAGATAAAAAGATAAAAGAGAGATTAAATCATAAAAGATGAAAGAAATAAGAAGGAGAAATCTGGACCAGGAGGCGACTACTCTCTGCGTCACATGTGGTGAAGGATTGTAGCCTATGTACAGACTCCTCGGCAGGCAGAGGACTTCTTGAGGGCCTGTTTTTGACATAACAGCTCTCAATCACTAAGCTCCTACCACGTTAGCACTACCCTAAGTGCTGTCCATTAAAAGATTAATAAAACTGGCTAATGTGAGTTCCTAAAATGCTGGGTGAATATCCAAAATATAGAAATAACTCAAACATCTCAATAGCAAGGAAACAACCCAATTGAAAAATGAGCAAAGGACCTGAATAGACATTTCTTAAAAAGAAGACATACAAATAGCAAAGGATTTATGCAAAAATGCTGAACAGTTCTAATCAAGAGAAAAATACAAATTAAAACCACAATGAGATCACCTCATGCCTTTTAAAATGACTATTATCAAAAAGACAAAAGATGTGTTGGCAAGAATATGGAGAGATGGGAACCCTTGCACACTGCTGGTGGGAATGCAAATAAGTATAGCTATTATGGAAAACAGTATGAAGTTCCTTCAAAAAATTACAAGTAGGACTACATATGATTCAGCAATCCCACTACTGGGTATACATTAAAATTAAACAAAATCAGTATGTCAAAGAGATATCTGCACTCCCATGTTAACTGCAGCATTAGTCATAATAGCCAAGATATGGAAACAACCTAAGTGTCCATGAATGGATGAATAAAGAAAATGTGCTATCTATATATACAACAGAATACTATTCAGCCTTAAAAACGAAGGAAATCCTGTCACTTGTCACAACGTGGATGAACCTGGAGGACATTACACTAAATGAAATAAGTCAGGCACAGAAAGATAAATACTGCATGATCGTACTCATATATGAAATCTTAAAAAAAAAGTTTATTTCTACTTAGAGAGGAGAAAGGTGGTTACCAGGAGTTGAGGGGATTGGGAAGGAGAAGGAAATGTCTGTCAAAGGATACAAAATTTCAGTTAGACAGGAGGAATAATTTCAAGTGATCTACTGTACAGCATGGTGACTATAGTCAATAATTTATTGCATTCTTGAAAAATACTAAGAAAGTGGATGTAAAGTGTTCTCACCCAAAAATGATAACTATGCGAACTGATGTATATGTTAATTAGCTGTATTAAGTCATTCCACGATGTCTAATACTTTAAAACATCATGTTGTACACAGTAAAGATGTAATTTTATCTATAAATGTAAAAAAAGTTTTTTTAAAGATACTAACTGTGGGCCTGGTAATGTTTTCAGTAATTTATACCCCAGAGTGATTTTTCCTTCTTTGGGTCCCAGAAGTCTCCTTCTAGTCTATGCACTCATTCTTTGGCTCCTGGGTTACAGAGAGATCCAGATGATCCTAGGGAGGGTCAGATTGGTTGGAATAGCTCAGCAGCCTTCGAAGGAACTGGATTAGAAGCATGTTAATATGAATAACTGATACAGATGAACTGCTACACACCAGATTAACATCAGCTCTGTGCTCATTTGACCTTCTCCACTCCAGGCACATAACTGTGGCTGCAACCATTACATAAAATGTGTATCTATCCTAATAAACAAATGAAAGTAATATTAATTCACACACCCCTCATTTATTATGCCAAATAATGGCTGAGATTGATGTCTGTGGAGTCACAGTGGACGTAGTAAGCAGCTTCAATTCAGAGAACCAAAAATCTTAGGCTGCTGACATGTTCAGGAAAATAAAATTAGTTCTATCTTCCTGTAGTAGAAGGATGTGAGCACAGGATATGAGGCCCAGAGTAGCAAAAGCTGAGTCCAACATGACATGCAGGAGTTGCATGGGAAATCTCCCATGCCGTAAGAAGGATTTGAAATTTATTCTATGTGGAGCCACAGATGTAACAGAAACTGATTGGTGGTGGACAGATTGATCTGGTAATAGTGTGGAGAATGATTTGGGTGAGGCCAGACTACCTGGGATGAAGTTCCAATTAGGAGATCAACAAAGAATTTGAAGGGAAAAAAAGTATTACTTATTGCCTACACTGGAAAATAGCAGAAGAAATTAAAAGGACAATATTGATGGATTAGAGGGCAAGACCCTATGAACTTTAATGTCTATTTGAATGTAGGCAGTGAGGTTGAAGGAGTTATCCAGGATGACTATCAACTTTCTGGTTAGGTACTCGCTAAATGGTCATGCTATTAACCAGCATAGAAAATACCGGGGGAAGTAATAGATCTAACTCTTTCATCAGATTTTTAAAATCAAGATCAAAGAAGTGATTAATAATGCAAAGCCCTCAAGCATTCTTTGTCACGAATACCCTCCAAAAGGTTTTCTCCTGACATGTGAAATAAGAGAGTTTGCAAAACATTTAAATTTAAAATGATATTAACTTCATGCAGTGCTCACTGTATCACTGATGAAAATATCTCTGCAAACAATAAAATGTTATTGGAAGGAAAAGAAAGTAATTTTGAAATACCTGTTCCTCCAGGTGAAACTTACAGATACAGAAATATAGTTCCCAGAAAAAATAAAACGAAATAAAAGTAATAATTACAGAAGGTTAGCAGGATGCCTTTTTACAAAAATTACAAAGGGCAAACCCCAGGAAGAAAAGAATTAATATCTTTTGAAAGGGCTAAGACAGAAAACACCCAGTGTCTCTGTAGCCAGAGTGACGGCAGATAAAGAATAACATTGAAGGCCTGGTTGAAAAAAAGAAAAAGAGGCTGTTAAACAATACCTAGGAAACATAGGCAACTACTTCTAGGCAATGAGTCTATATGCTTAATACTTGACTTTTATTAACTATAGAACTCCCAGTGAGAAACACTGAAATTCCTACAGAAAAAGACTGATACTTCTAAATTGCTTTTCAATCAGGCTGGTATTAAATAGTAAAAGGTTATGGCATTGTTGCTGAGAACATATCTGAATACTTTCAGGTTTTGGGCTTATTTTTTAAAAGGGAGAAAAGGAAAGCACAAGTAGGACACGGAGCGTAAGGGCATGGAGCTGAATTGCCAGTATGGATGCAATGGCAAAGAAGTAATGCTAATTAACATTGCATCTGACTTGCAGACCAGAGCCGATTAATAATTGTGTTAAACACCTCAGCATGCTATCAGGGCCCAGGGGAACACATGCACAGAACTAGAGCCCCAGGAACTAAACAGTGACTTAAAATAAATATTTGCTGAATTGACTAAGAAATATTCCACTGTGAGGTGGTGTTTGCTGCCCTAGCTTTGGCAAAAAGAAGGGTCTTAGGTTCTTTGATGAATCTTCTAGTATATGAAGCTCCCATGCAAAATGGGAAAGTCAAGACAAGAGAGAGGTCAATAGAGAAGCAAGAAGAGTCAGCTTCTTGTATGTATCCTTACAGCTACCTATCTAGGATACATACAATAATACAAACAAACACAGCTACCAGTTAGGCTGTAGGTCTACCCATGCCACCTGCTGAAAGATCTATCATGGAGCGTTAGCAATGATCTTATGCTTAAATGTTTACAGAAACGAGAGTAGCCAAAATGAATCCAGAATCCAGGCAGTGTAGCCTTTGCATAATTGGTAGTAGTAATATCTCTGGCAGGGAAAAATGAAATCCACCATCAGCGAGACCATCATCAAAGCACAAAAGGAAGCATCATGGAAGCATGAGCTCTTATTGTCACAAACAGCTCTTACTGGAAAGGAAGAAAACAAAGAGATTTTAAAAATATGTTTATCTGTGCCCTACCTTCTTATAAAAAAAATACGATGGAAAACAAGATTTTTTTATTCAAACTATATATACACTCATTTAACTGAATCATATTCAAAAGGATAAGTCTAGGGCACAGAGAGTTAAAACAAAATATAAAACATCTTTGCAAAGTCAGTCCATTGAAGTAAGTCCCAAAATCATCCATACCTCTGGGAGACTAAAAAAGCTAAATGGGGCCGGGAGCAATGGCTCACACCTGTAATCCCAGCACTTTGGGAGGTCAAGGGGACAGATCACCTGAGGTCAGGAGTTTGAGACCAGCCTGGCCAACATGGCAAAACCCAGTCTCCACTAAAAAAAAATACAAAAAATTAGCCGGGTGTGGTGGCACATGCCTGTAATCCCAGCTACTCAGGAGGCTGAGGAAGGAGAATCACTTGAACCCAGGTTGCAGAGGTTGCAATGAGCTGAGATCACACCACTGCACTCCAGCCTGGGTGACAGAGCGAGACTTCACTGGGCAACAGAGCGAGACTTCATCTTAAAAAGAAAAAAAGAAAAAAAAAAGCTAATTGGGTCTCTCTTTGCAGTCTACACTTGGCTCCTCTCTCCTTCTCCATCTTTAAATCTTGGGGTATCCAGGATACAGTCCACAAAGCTCTTCTTTTTTTTCCCTCAGCATTCATTGATGAGAAGTTCCCATTCAGTCCCATAGTTAAAATATATATATATATTTCATTCTTCCCAATTTTTTGTCTCCAGCTCTGATATCTCACCTGAGTTTGACATGTACACATCCAACACTATGTGACATCTCCTTGTTGATGTCCAACACCTCAAATTGACTATGTCCAAAATAGAACTTGATTCCCCTGCACCTCCTAACCTGTTCCTCACAGTCTTGCCTATCTCAGTAAACAGCACCACCAATCATATGATTGCTGAGATCAAAATCCAAGAAGTCATCCTCAATTCTTCCCAGGGTTGACACTCTGTACCATCCCTGGGCTGCCATTCACTGCATAGTCTCTGTGAGTAGTTCCTTCTGGGGCTGTCAGTGCCCAACCTATGAAGCCGTATGCAGTCCCTTTCCTTTACAGTCCACATTCCATCTATCATTAAGCACCCTTAGCTCTACTTGAAAACACACTGTGAGTCTAACCCCTCCTCACCATCTCCACCCTACCACTTAGTTCAAGCCACTCTCAGCTCTCTTAGACTACCAAGCTAGCTCCCTAATGAGTGTACCAATGTCCCCTCTCCCTGTCTCTACCTTCTTCAGTCTCGTGTTTACCCAACATGGAGACTGATCCTTCAAAAATGTGAATTAATGATATCACATCCCTGCCCAAATCCTCCAATAGCATTCCATCGACTCATATCCAAATCCACATGCTTGAGCTTGGTCAACAGAGCACATAGGGTCTTCCTGTTTCTCCAACTTCATCTCATTTTATTCTCCATTTTACCCACTCTGTTCCAGCCACATTGGCATTGTTCCTCTTTCTGAAATATCCTTGCTGTTCCCACTTCCAGGAATACTCTTTTCCATACTTCCTTTATTCAAGTCTCCTCAGATGAGAGGTCTTTTCTAAATATTATCGTACTCTAGTCATTCTCTTATTCTATGCCCTGCTTTTATTTTCTTCATAGTGATTACCTCTTTTGGGTAATGTATTACATATTTATGGTTTTAAAAATAATAATCTAGCTACTAAAATGTAAGCTGCATGAGACAGAGGCCTTAACTCTCTTATTTAAGACTGTATTCTCAAACAGTATCTGTACATAAGAGATGCTCAAAAAAGATTCAAGGGGTAAAAGATTAAATGAATGGCCAATGCTAGCCATCAGCCTTCCATGACCTACAGAAATTCTATTCCCTATTTTTTTTTTTCTTTTTGAGACGGAGTCTTGCTCTGTCAACCAGACTGGAGTGCAGTGGCGCGATCTCCGCTCACTGCAAGCTCCGCCTCCTGGGTTCGCGCCATTCTCCTGCCTCAGCCTCCCGAGTAGCTGGGACTACAGGCACCCGCCACCACGCCCGGCTAAGGTTTTTGCATTTTTAGTAGAGATGGGGTTTCAACATGTTAGCCAGGATGGTCTCGATCTCCTGACCTTGTGATCTGCCCGCCTTGGCTTCCCAAAGTGCTGGGATTACAGGCGTGAGCCACCACGCCTGGCCTCTACTCCCTATTTTTAAGGGATGTTTTGCTTGTGCTAAGAAAAGCAGTGGAAGCCCACTAATTATCTATCACTGAATAAATATTCCTGTACCAAACCAACAATAAATGTTAACCTTTCTCATTCCAAATAGTGAGGTCACTGCTTCTGTTTAGCCTATATGAGATTCTGGGGATAAAAGATAGCAGAGGTAACTGGAATAAAACATGGTTTCATCTCATCTCTCCATACAAACTTTGACCACAACTACTGTCACAAACTAAAGCTTCTTGCTTAACACAGTTTATTTTTTCTAAAGTCTCTGTGTGATAGGAAGAAAATGGCCAAAATTTTGAGGGAATTACACAGGTAAAGGTAGCCCTTAACACGTACAGCCAAAACTTTCTGAAAAGTGACACTAAAGCTTTAGGAAAGGCAAAATTTTAAAAGAAACTTAAAAACTAGAATTTTTGCAATAGCATTATCCTGAAAAACAATCTGGTTAACCAGTAGTAAGTTCCCCGAGGCTGGTTAGAGATGTCTTTTTAAAAAAAAAATGAAAAGCATTTTTGCTAACTCAAGAGAGAAATAACCCAAAGACTAATGAGCTCCATTAATCACTCACTGCCTGACCCTCAGCAAGTCACTTGTCCTCAACGCTAAAATGGAGAGGCCTATCAATTAGCTTCACGTGGTAGCTGTGAAGAGAGACTAATAAGCCTGATTGCAAAGCATTCTGAAAACATTAAGTGCTACAGAGAGGCTTGAAAATTGCTAGGTTGACATTAGTCACTGACCAAGCATTGTGAATGCATTTGGTTAATCTTTTTTAAAAAAAGTTTATTTTATTTTTAATTGACCAATAGTAAATACATGTATTTATAGCATACAACGTGAACATCACACTGGCTAATCTTTTTAAGCTCTCTTCCACCATTTGGCTCTTCTGATGTCAATCAGTCCTGGTGACAAAGACAAGTAAGTGAGGATTCTTCTCACTTTCCTCTAAGTCTTGTCCTGACCCACAGAAAACATGCTGAAGATGTGAACTAGCCTTTGTTCTCCTCTGTCCTTCCGAAAGCACCTTGCAGATTCCCAATGAACAGATGCTGCAGAAACAACCAACTAAAACACCTTCACCTTTCCTTTACAAGAACACATACATAATGACTAAAACCCACATATATGACAAAGATCATGTGAAGGAAGAATATTAATATGAAGAACCTGAAAAATGCAGAATTCACCTACTTCGTACTTTTTTCTGCAAGTTTCTCCTTTTTTCAGGAAATGCCCTCACTTGAGAAAAGGGAGATTGATTTCTGACTCCTCCTTAGCCAGAAATGGTTTTCTTCATCCATCGATAAACATAGATTTAGCATTTCACTTGTCTGTGAAGGTGTATACAGAAATTCATGTTCTTTCCAAGCTGCTGCCTATGTGGTATCTATTTTAAAGATAAGCCTGTGCCATTTTAGTTTCTTACCAATCTCTCTAAGACATGGAAGAGATCGCCAGGAAACAAAAGTAATATAATCAATCACTCACTAAAGGGTACCTACAGTCACCATAGACATATGTTTCAAAAAAGTACAAATTTCCTATTCGACGATATCACAACAATTGTCCCTTCTATATGGGAGGATCTTCCCTTTTCAAGTCAAATGCAAGCATCCTGGTCTCCAAAAAGTTCTCAGCCTAAAGCTAAGAGATTAATTAGAAAAAAATACCTTGCCTCTTGCTCAACTACCACTGGTTAAATCACAGCACACTTCAAATCCCAGTACTGATAACTCAGAGCAGGTTTTGGGATGACAGGACAAAGAATTTGAACTAATGCAAAAATAAGTAGCAAATATTAGGAAGAGCATTTGTATAAAGTCTTTATGTACAAATGAAAACATACTCATGCCTGTAATCCCAGCACTTTGGGAGGCTAAGGTGGGTGGATCGCCTGAGGTCAGGAGTTCAAGACCAGCCTGGCCAACACAGTGAAACCCCATCTCTACTAAAAAAAAAAAAAAAAAAAAAATACAAAAAAATTAGCCGGGCATGGTGGCAGAAGCCTGTAATCCCAGCTACATGGGAGGCTGAGGCAGAAGAAGCGCTTGAACCTGGGAGGTGGAGGTTGCAGTGAGCCAAGATCGTGCCACTGTACTCCAACCTGGGTAACAAGAGTGAAACTCCATGTCAAAAAAAAAAGAAAGAAAAAAAGACAAAAATATAAGAGATAACCCAGAGTCATGGATGAATAAATTATTTTAGTGTAAAGCAGGGATCAGCAAACTACTGCCAGAGTTAAATCCAGGCCACTGTCTATTTTGTAAGTAAGTTTTATTCTAATACAGCCACACTTGTTCATTTACATGTTCTCTGTGGCTGTTTTCTGCTCTTCTCACACTACAATGGCAGGATGTGAGTAGCTGAAGCAGAACATATGGCCCATAAATTTGAAAATATTTACTACCTGGCTCTTTGCTAAAAAAGTTTGCCAACCCTGGTATAGATAATAAAGAAGTCACTGCAGATTGGAATAGTCTGGGACATTTCTGGAGAAGGAGGCTAGGTGCTTAAACGGAAGCAGTAAATGAACCAGAAAATAAGTGATAAATAGACAAATGTCCTTTGCTGAGTAACTGTTTATTGGAGGCTTGAAATTTCTTAAGAGTTCTAAAAGGACAAGACCTTCCCAACTGGATAAAACATTATTAAAGAAATGAACTCTCATAGTAAATATCAAAACAGATGGACTAGAAACTAAAGCCCAGGTTTCCTGGGATCTGTCGTATTCAGACCCCAATACTACGCAGAGGTTTGTTTTGGCTGATGGTGGTGGAGGTAGTGGTGATAGTGTCATTTTCACAGATTATCTTGCTTCAAGAGATGCAAAAGTGTCACGTGACAAGTCTGAGCAAAATAGAAATACTAAACCAGAGGTAACAGAAAATCTGGACACAAACCTTGCCCTGTCCATTAATAGGTGACATTCTCTCACCTGCAAAATAGAATAACCATGGGGGGCCAGGGTCAGAATGGGAATCATCATCAAGATGGATTCAATGCTGGGCCAGTATCCAGGACTCCAGCTGATACTCAGGATGTGGTTAGTGCTTGAGACAGAAACAAAGCACCAGGTTGGAACTGATGACACACTGGGTCTCCATATTGTATTGTGCCCTGTCTGTAACCTGAGTCAGATCCAACTGTAAGGGTTACAGATGCTTGTAAATATCCACCCTGCTCTGGCATAAGCTCTGTTTCTCACAGAAAGAAAGGTCCATTTCAGGCTGCAACCTCATCATTTAAGAGAAAAGAACATAGCAAAAAAAAAAAAAAAAGGAAATGGACACTATCCCTTCCATGACCTACAATGTCCCTTCTTGGGCCCTAAAGACTTAAGATACTGAACACACACTGAAAACCCAGTAGGACTCATGCCTTCAAAAAACATTAACACAAAAGATACATCTAAAATAAAAAGCATAGTTTAATAAGGCAATAAAAGTACTTAAAATCAAAGTGATAAAAACACTGAATATTTTCAAATGGTTTAAAGACCAATTATTAACAATAAATTATGGCATCAACTGTAGCCACAAGAAATCACCCCAAAATACTTCTATCTAGAATTGAAAGATGTCTTATCACACTCTCATGACTGATTCTGATGAATTTTATTAATATTAAGATCCTGAGCATAGTGGGTACTTAAGTGAACATTTGAGGGGCAGCTGTCCCCACCTTCTCTCATGCCTATCTTGATCTCTTCTTCAAGTGACAACAGCTCAGTATGACTGGTTTCCCTAACCAAGAGAATCCTCTACAATAAAATCAATGAATCAATGCTCAGAAGACTGCATGAGACACCTTCTTCACAAGTGGCTATTTAGGGCTCAATCTTTTTTTTTTTTTTTTGAGATGGAGTCTCACTCTGCTGCCCAGGTTTGAGGGCAGTGGTGTGATCTCAGCTCACTGCAAGCTCCGCCTCCCAGGTTCACGTCATTATCCTGCCTCAACCTCCCGAATAGCTGGGACTACAGGTGCCCACCACCACGCCTGGCCTACTTTTTTGTTTTTTTGGTTTTTTTAGTAGAGATGGGGTTTCACCATGTTAGCCAGGATGGTCTTGATCTCCTGACCTCGTGATCCACAAGCCTCGGCCTCCCAAAGCGCTGGGATTACAGGCATGAGCCATCGTGCCCGGCCTAGGGCTCAATCTTAAAATGACCTCTCCGAAGTCCTTTTCTTTTTTTTTTTTTTTTCCTTGAGATGGAAAAAAAAAGTTCTGTCGGCCAGGCTGAAGTGCAGTGGCATGATCTCAGCTCACTGCAACCTCTGCATCCCAGTTTCAAGTGATTCTCCTGCCTCAGTAGCTGAGATTACAGGTGTCTGCCACCATGCCTGGCTAATTTTTGTATTTTTAGTAGAGATGGGGTTTCACCATGTTGGCTAGGCTGGTCTTGAATCCCTGACCTTAGGTGATCCACCTGGCTCAGCCTATCACAGCCAAAGTCTTTTTCAATTGGCAAAGAACCTAAGCTGCCATCACCAACTATCTGACCATTTAGAGAACTTACTAACAAAAGCATGTGAGTTTCACTGGTTAAAGAATCATGTATTAAAATGGGAGTGTGGTAGAAACAGGAGTAGAAAGTGAACGGGGCTTGTTCCAAACAAAAATTGCAAAATACAAAGTTGATAAAGGCCCCTTTGCTTAAAACTCTTTGTGAGAAATATTTCATCCAAATTTTAACTGTAGCTTCTGTTAACTTTTGGCACTCAATACTTGCTAGGCACCCAAAAGCATAACGACCAATCATTCCCACACAATTTAGTTGTGATCAAATTTACTGGTTAGATTTATTTCTGAGTGTGCATTTTATCTTTTCCTCTTATGAGATTTCTGTAGTTATAGATATTAAATTTCATCACATATGAAAATGCTTAAATTAAAAAAATTATCCCCCTTTGACATTAAGACACACCTGCCTTGGTTGTCACAAACAATTGATAGAGCTTGGCTATTAAAAAGCCTCCCTTCTTAGAGCCAGCTTTTATGTAAGTCCAGAATGGCTCCCATCTGGTCCTGGGTTTATTGGTTATTTGTTATCTGTCAAATATTAGAACTCCTGCCTTGCAAGTTGTTCTGTAGCAAGTGAGAGGCATTTTAGGTCATGAAAAGACAATACCCAATTCCTTTACTTGCTATACTACATTTAAGTCAGATTGACACTTCCTCTGTAATCCGTACATTTCTCAATCCAATCTTTTTCCTAATATAATTGCTAAGAACAATAGTCAAATTAATAAAACTAACAAAAAATGTAATCCAAGGGTTTAAGTGAAGAGGTGAGCTGTCTTATTTTATTTTTCTCTTTTTTACGAACAATAATTCAAAGGTTGCTTCTATATCACTAACCTATATGAGTTACAAAAATCGTAAAGAGAAAAAAAATTCTGAAAGAGGGCTTCATTATTTTGGTCTCAATTAAGCATTTCTGAAATCACAAATATCTGAGGTGAGTAAATTTTTGTGAGATACTATGAAGTTTGAGGACAAAGAGTTCTCCCAAAGGTAAGAAATAGACTATAGACACACGTGAATTAAGAAGAATACAGTGCTTTCAAAGGGAAAAAAAAATTCTGAACAGACTGTCTCTTGACCAACAGTGAGTATTCCTTCCCACCTCCATTTCCTGGCCTTAACAGTAGACCCTGGGGAAGGAGCTACTTTTCCTATGCGTTTGGAGCCTGGAATAGGGTAGAACCCAAGTAAGGGTGGGGGAATTTTCTCAGCCCAGAGAATATTGGAAAACTCGGGAGCTCCAATCCTAGGAGCCGTGGGGAATGGCCAGACTCTGGCAGCCAGTCAACAGCCAAACTCAGGCTCAGGAAGGGTGAAGTGTGGAAACCCACAGGACTAGACTTAAGACAGTAGGTGAAGGCTTGTATACCTGATGGGGGAACAGCTCCCAAAAGCAGACTCATAGCGGGCTGGGCCCATGGAGAACACTGTTATCATTTCTGTGATCCCAATTTGGGCTGGTGTGGCCTGAGGAAACACAATCTACTCAGTAACGCTATGTTTACAATTGTGGCTGGGCTGTTTTTCAAAAGACTCCATTGATTATTGATGTTAGAATACTTTGTATAATTTTTAATTCTAAAATAAACCCTAAATCGTCTTCTAGTAAGACTTACCAAGCCATTGAAGGCCCCTAAGTAGTGAAACAATTAAGCTAACACCTATAATTTATTTAATATGCTCTTTCTTCATCCTGCTTCTCCAACATGCTTTAATTAGTGTCATGTGTTAACATGCTACCAGGTTAGACAGGCTCAGAGGCACTCAACCTAAAAGATCATGTACAAGAGCTTCTTCTAAACAGTAAAAGCTACACTCATTACCATCTCACTGTGTGCCTCCTACAATTCTTTCATGATGTCAACCAGAAAATCTAAAGAAAGGCCTCATCCACTTCTTAGTGGCTATTTCAGATGCTTTAGTCTGCAGAATGAATCCGGTAAATCAGGTATCCTTTGAAAAAACGTTTTCTTCCTCTTTGTATTATTCTTTATGTGTATCACAAGCACAGATGACTTTGATTTATATGCAGCTTCTCTTTCATTATTCTCCTCTATGTAGCTTCACTGAAAAAACTAATGTGTGATACCTCATGTCTTTGTCGTCTCTTTGTCATAACAATTTATTTTGGCCAGTCTCAGAACTGAATTTCTGAAAAGTATGCTACATTTTAAAATAAAGAATACCTATTGTTGGGTATAAATTACACTTAGATAAAAGTTAACTTTTTAGCATTTTCTATGTTAGCATTCTCTTTCGTCATAATTATTTAAATTCCCTCTGTGAAATGTCATGCCTCCTTTTATTGTAGGCAGTATGAGAAATGTCATGGCTTCTTTTATTACATGCAATATGAGATAACATGTGGTCCCTTTAAAATATGTTCAAGTGTGATATTTTTAAAATTTTCACATTAGTTCATGAACTCAGGTGAGAATATCCTAACTTCAGGTGATCTTTACCTGGGCTGGTGTGGCCTGAGGAAACACAGTCTACTCAGTAACGCTATGCTCACAGTTGTGGCTGGGCTGTATATACCACCCTTCACAAGGCATTTTCTTCTTAAATAATGCCTAATAAATAACATTGCAACTCCCCCAAATAATAAGACTGTTCCTAGTTTTTGGCTCTCTTCAAAATGTTGCACTGGATTTAAAGGACAGCTTAGTGATCTTCATCGGGTATCATAGAGAACATGGCAGTGCAAAGAGCTCTGCATTCACTGGGCGATGACCTGCCATGGTGGCTGTACCAGCATTCCATCAGCACTTCCTGTGGGTTCCTCTCCACCAACTAGATACAACCAATTCAATCTTCACTGCTTCTCTCTATCTGTTCTTGAATAAATAGCCCTTCATCCTGACACTTGTTAGCTTTGCAAATGTATAAGGCATGAGCCCAAGCTTTTATTTACACCTGGTCTCAGAATGTTCAGAGCTGAAAGGAACCACACTTAGAAATGAAGGAGTTAGCTCTTTGGATCTAACCAGAGAGAAATCCACAAGCCTTTATCACACTCATTTTATTTTTAAATATGTATATTGTTAGGGAAAACTAGAACTTTTATGTTCATTATACATGATTTTATATAAAGAATAGAAAGAAACATTAAGGGGACTGCATGTTATCTCTCCAAATACACATAAAACCAACACTGATTAGACTAGCGTGTGAGCACACTATCTGTATATCTGATATGGTCTGAGTCTTAAACATACATGTCCATGACTGTATGTTATTTAAATAGATTTAATAGCTATCTAATGAAACTTTATTAGCTTTAGAATCCAGTGAGGTAGAGTAACCCCCCACGATGTAAGTAGGCATTTGTAAATTAAAGACCCAATATAGTGTAAAGTTGTGGTTTTAAGGAATCTGAGTATCAAAATAAAAAGAACACACCTGTTTTGTATATTAATTATACATAAACACAAACTCTCTGGATAAAGAGTCATAAATTTGCAGAGCTGAGTAGCTCTTTCCATATCACCTGTGACAATTTTCTTTTATAGACAAGCTATATAAGGCTTAGAGAGGTTAAGGGTGTCCTCCTGGTCTAAAAACTGATTAAAGACAGAGCCAGGCAAAGAACTAGTTCTTGAAACCCCTATTTGGTGTTATTTCTAGCAATTCACAGTGCCTCTCCGAATTACTATCAGAGTCCAAAGTCACTGCTATGTCTCAGCTTCCTAAACATGGCTCAGTTATGTTTTGCTTATTTTTCATACAATGACAGCTTTTCAAATGTAATTTAAGAAAGTCTTGCCAGGGGCAGTGGCTCACACCTGTAATCCCAGCACTTTGGGAGGCCAAGGGAGGAGGATCACTTGAGGCCAGGAGTTTGAGACCACCCTGGCCAACATGGTGGGACCCCGTCTCTATTAAAAATGCAAAAATTAGCTGGGCGTGGTGGCGCGTGCCTGTAATCCCAGCTACTCAGGAGGCTGAGGCAGGAGAATCACTCGAACCAGGGAGGCGGAGATTGCAGTGAGCCGCGATCACACCACTACACTCCAGCCTGTAGAGCGAGTGCCTGTCTCGAAAAAAGAAAAAGAAAGACTCAAATCACTTAAAAATGTATTCACTTAAACTGTCTTATATTGTCAAAGAATATAGATCTTTATGTATATGACATTTCGGATCTATATTATGTTTATATTTAGGCAATATAGATATTGCATATATTACATTTATATTTGTCTACTTTATATGTAAAGGATACAGAAGGCACCAACTTAAATTACTAATGCGTTATATTTATAAGCATGTTCACTTTCCTCAGGCTACAGGAAAGAAAACAAAAAATGAAAAGTAGAAAACTTTTAAATGAAAAGTGCCTAAATCTCCTTGTAGGAACTGGATCCCTTCCTTACACCTTATACAAAAATTAATTCAAGATGGATTAAAGACTTAAACCTTAGACCTAAAACCATAAAAACCCTAGAAGAAAACCTAGGCATTACCATTCAGGACATAGGCATAGGCAAGGACTTCATGTCTAAAACACCAAAAGCAATGGCAACAAAAGCCAAAATTGACAAATGGGATCGAATTAAACTAAAGAGCTTCTGCACAGAAAAAGAAACTACCATTGGAGTGAACAGGCAACCTACAAAATGGGAGAAAATTTTCGCAACCTACTCATCTGACAAAGGGCTAATATCCAGAATCTACAATGAACTCAAACAAATTGACAAGAAAAAAACAAACAACCCCATCAAAAAGTGGGCAAAGGACATGAACAGACACTTCTCAAAAGAAGACATTTATGCAGCCAAAAAACACATGAAAAAATGCTCACCATCACTGGCCATCAGAGAAATGCAAATCAAAACCACAATGAGATACCATCTCACACCAGTTAGAATGGCGATCATTAAAAAGTCAGGAGACAACAAGTGCTGGAGAGGATGTGGAGAAATAGGAACACTTTTACACTGTTGGTGGGACTGTAAACTAGTTCAACCATTGTGGAAGTCAGTGTGGCGATTCCTCAGGGATCTAGAACTGGAAATACCATTTGACCCAGCCATCCCATTACTGGGTATATACCCAAAGGACTATAAATCATGCTGCTATAAAGACACATGCACACGTATGTTTATTGCGGCACTATTCACAATAGCAAAGACTTGAACTAACCCAAATGTCCAACAATAATAGACTGGATTAAGAAAATGTGGCATATATACACTGTGGAATACTATGCAGCCATAAAAAATGATGAGTTCATGTCCTTTGTAGGGACATGGATGAAATTGGAAATCATCATTCTCAGTAAACTATCGCAAGAACAAAAAACCAAACACCGCATATTCTCACTCATAGGTGGGAATTGAACAATGAGAACACATGGACACAGGAAGGGGAACATCACACTCTGGGGACTGTTGTGGGGTGGGGGGAGGGGGGAGGGATAGCTTTAGGAGATATACCTAATGCTAAATGACGAGTTAATGGGTGCAGCACACCAGCATGGCACATGTATACATATGTAACTAACCTGCACATTGTGCACATGTACCCTAAAACTTAAAGTATAATAATAATAAAATAAATAAATAAATAAAAAAGAAACTGAAAAAAAATATCTATCAATAGGATGGCTGACTAAATAAATTATGCTATGTCCATGCAATAGAAAAAAAAAAAAAAAGGAAAGGTCTCTGAACCACAGAGGAGGAGGACAGCTTAGTTTAAATGCTTATTTTCCATTAGTCAGAGATGTAGTAACCTCCAGCAGGAAATGGAGATCAAAGTAAGACTGCTCTACTGGAAATCACAGCATCTTTACAAGCTTCCCAGAGGCCAAGATTTCATAATTTACTGCTTTTTTGATATCCACATTTCAATGGTATTTACATTTAATTAACTATATTCCAAAATCTAACACTATACAATGTTTCCCACTTTCTATGAGCCTGTTACCTTACTTTATTAGAAAACAGAAGACTGGATTACAGGCATTTGCCACCATACCCTGCTAATTTTTGTATTTTTAGTAGAGATGGGGTTTCACCATGTTGGCCAGGCTGGTCTTGAACTCCTAACCTCAAGTGATCCGCCCACCTCGGCCTCCCAAAGTGCTGGGATTATAGGCGTGAGCCACTGCACCCGGGAGGCTGAGGCAGGAGAATTGCTTAAAACCCAGGAGGTGGAGGTTGCAGTGAGCCAAGGTAGTGCCACTGCACTCCAGCCTGGGTGACAGAGCGAGACTCTGTCTCAAAAAAAAAAAATAAGAGAAGAAAAAAAAAAGGAAAAGAAAACAGAAGACTGTTTCATCTTTAACTTTTAACTTCTTGTTTTTGGCTTTTTTTTTTTTAAGCAAAAGAAGAACAGAAAAGCATTTCTATAAGTTCAAGGCAACATTAGCTTCTCTTATAATTCCCTTTCCATTTTTTTTCCAAATATTCCTTAGTATTGCTTCTCATAAGTATCTACATTTCTAGTTGATATTACTATATAGCCAAACCTAAGACTGATAGGGTCCCATAATTTTTTGCAAAAAATTCTGCCAAGGACAGGTAACAATAATGCTACATTTTTATGGCTATTACAAATAAAAAAAGTTTTGAATGTACCTTCATTCAAAGATAGAATTATTAATATACCAGTGTAGATATAAAAAGGCAACACTATTAAATATGAATTATTGATAACACAGTCCCAAATAGTTTAGTACCTATTAAATAATTCTACTAATATGTTTAATCAGCAGCGTGGCCATATTTTACTTTCATTTCCCTTTCACCTATATTCTCTCATTAGAACGAAGATTTATCATCATGTATCAGAAGTTCTCAAATAAGAACCCTCAAATATGAGGAAATCTCTGAAGAATGTTATGAATCCCCTCATTTTGAGGGCCTCCATGTTGCCTTACACATTTTTCCTGTGAATTATACTCTCTGACATTTTCTCTGACAAATTTTAGCTTTTCCCTTAATCCAGTTTCCATTTATTTAGGTTTTCTAGCATGATTTTTTCTCCATAAATTTACTTTTCATATCTAATTATCTCTTTTATTCCAACACACCCACACCACTCGTGCTGCTCCCATCTGTCCCCTGAAAGCTCTATTGAACTACACATAAAACCCTTTTTCCTTTAATTATATAAATTATGTCAATTTAGAGAAAACGTTGTTCCATATAAGCACTATTCATTTGGTAGAGTCCATTTTTTCCCAAGTATGACTCCAGCAGCAAACAATCCTTAATGGATTTAACTAATTTTTCCAATCAGTAACATCCAGATTCTACACAGGTTGTGCAACATAATTAGGGTCGCTCTTCATGAGAAAAAAAAGTATAATTCTGCACAAGTTTCTCTTCAGGAGTGCCAGAATGGTAATTTCTATGCAAATAACAGTTGAGGAATACCATCACTTGCTTTAAGGATCCTGGAAAGCCTTACTCTGTGACAGTTTTTGTACAACAGTTACAGATTTTCATTTTTCAGAGCAATTCCAACTCTAAAAGAGCCATAAATCTATGGCCCTATGAGACTAAAACAAACAAAAGGCAAAGCACAGTCAGAAAATGTGAAAAGGATAAAGAGGCAAAACGATACATATCTATCGCCACAGCAAACAAGGAAACGCACATAAGGGGAATAATGAGTCTGAGAGAAGCCTCCCTTCTCTGCCCCCATGCTAGTAATTCTGCATAAGCACCGTGGTGAGGTGAGGGAGGACTTCAGAGATGTGATGCTGGACCTGCACTGTGTTGCCATGGAAGTGAGAGCTTGATTTCTTTAGCTCCTACGTACCCTTCTCAGCACTTGTGGCAACAGTGACAGGTTCTTTTCCTTTGTTCAGAGACTGCTCTGGCAACCACCTTGCCTCTTGCCAAGGCACTGAAAGACTGCATTGCAAGGCCACATTGTAAGCAAATTACTTGAGAGGGAGACTTTTCATTTCCATTTCTAAAATTAGACTCTTCTGTGTGTGCTAGCACTAGAGAAATAGAAACACTTGCTGGAAGGGGCTCACTCAGGGGTGATCTGAGTTACCATGCCTTTCAAACAGGTATGTGGACCCACAGCCCATGTGCAGGTATATGACAGCAGGCAGTTCCGGGTGCCTCTATGGATTCAGAAACTGGCTTGCAAATGTTGGCTTCAAGAGGTGGATGGTTTGTTCTGGGGAGGGTCTCTGAGCACAACGAATATATACTGCTTTCCAAGCAGATGTGGGCGCCAGAGCATTTGATCAAAAAGAACAAATTTCCTAATAGGACTTTTAACAAATGTATTTAATTGACTTAGGAGCTACAGCAAACTGCTTGTTCATGTCTCTAGTCGAGTCTCTTTGTGATGCAAAATCCCAAGTCAGCACAAAATAGGTGAGAATAGTTTAATAATAACTTTTACCTCAGCATTACATGTGAATAGTAACTGATGTCTTAAAGGGTAGTACTATTTACTTTATAATAAACTCATCAGGTAGGTATTCTATATCATCCATTTAAAGATATTTTCTAGTTGAATAGGCCTCACTGCACATGCAGCATATAAACATATCGACTATGTCTGGATTAAAAAATCTTTGTGACCATCAAGAAAAGGATAATGAATGGAGTAGAAAGAGCTAAGCAAGGTTTTTGAATTTGGGCTAAAAATCAAATTTCAATTTTAAAATTTCAGTTTTAAAACCATGACTGTAACTATCAGTTCCCCCTATCCACCCTCCTCCAGTTCACTCTGAACCAAAAGGCCCTCTCTTACCACATTCTGTTAAGCATAAATTTTCCATGCAGGGGTGGGAATTTGTGTGTATATAATAAACCTTTATGGTTTTCAAGTACTATGGAAATGTGTCAGGGAGAAGACCCTGTAAAATGCACTTTTTGTTTTATTTATGTTGTATACCATGGCGTTAAGAAAAACTGAACATTTATTTTAAAGCAGGAATGCAATAAACATCTAACAAATCTCAGATGGCTAAGCAGATCCAATGTTAGTTTTTAAGATAAATGTTGGAAAAAATGAATTTGTCAATAAGATAAAAATAGGTTTAGTAGCTTAATTACACTGAATCATATTAATGGTATGAACGGATTAAGGGAGCCACTGTGCACATGCTAGAAAGAACACTGAATAGGCCTACATTTTATGAAGCCCGGCCTTCACTGGCTGCCTGACAGGAGGACGCTCCTAACCTCTGTGAACCCAATACACCTTGACTGAAAAGGGGGGTTGTCCTATGTGACACATAAGGTTCTATCCAGCTCTGGAAATTGATGATTCTTTGTATAGAGAAAACCTGTATTTATTTGTAAGTATGTATAGAAGATAGGTGTGTTCCTTTTTATTTTGATACAAAACTCCTTAAAACTACTTTACACCCTACTATGTCATTATTTACAAATGTCTACTTACATTATTCAGAGTGACTCCATCTCACTGGATTCAAAAGTTAATGAAATCTCATAGACAGCAGCTATATTTATTTAAATAAATTTATTTAAGCACGATTTTTGTTTGAGGTTCACATCACATCACATATCCATGCAGTGGAACTGACAGCCAATGTGAGCAGCTTAGCATTATGTGTATTATGTGTACTGTAAGAGATTATATGCAATTCTTTGAAAAAGATTTAACTGTGATCTGTAAAAAATGTTCCCATTTGTTCATGTGCTCGGAAGAATATCCTAAAGTCCAGGTGACCTTTAACTACCATTTGTACTAACTTTGAAGAGGCATTTTCTTCTCAATAATAATAACTAGCACATAATGCAGCATTTTCTAAAAATAATAAGACTGGCTCTTACCTTAGGATACCTTTGAAATGTTGTGTTCACAAACTGGGTTTAAAATACTGCTCAGTGATTCTTGCAGGACACAGTACACACCATGGCAGATCAAGGAGCTCTACATTCACTGGGGATGACTTGCCACGGTGGCTGTACAGAGGCTCCATCAGCACTTCCTGTGGGCTCCTCTTCACCACTGGATAAAACTAACTTAATCTTCACTGCCTTTATCTGTGAAAGAGTCCTTCATTCTGGGACTTGAACATTTTGTATATGTATAAAACATGGGCCCAAGCCTTTATTTACCCCTGAGCCCACAAAATGTAAGAGCTGAGAAGAACCCCTTCATTTACAAATGAAAAAATTAAGGTCTTTGCATCTAACCAGGGAGAAATCCACAAGCATTTATTATATTCATTGTGTTTATTTTTAAATATTTATATTGCTAGGGCAAAGTTGTGACTTTCTGTTCATTATATACAATTTTATATAAAGAATAAAAAGGAGCATTGAGGAAGATTTCTTCCTCCAGGACAGTGCTTTACATAATTAGTCTGAACTCTAAACTAAAAGCAAAAATTCTGGCTACAGCTGCAAAGGTGTTTTACATACTTGGGATTCCAGCTGCCAGCTACATTCTTACTTCTGTTTATTCAAAGACAAATGGACACGCTTTAATAAATTTGGGAGTGAAAAGGAATACCTTCTGATCAAGGCATAGCAAACAAATTCTTATAACTGAAAATCAAGTGTTCTAATATTGAGATTAACTTAGGCTAGGATGTCAGCTTTTCTCATTGAATTGACCTTGCAAATCAGCTAACATCATAGTTAGAAACAGTTTCTGCAGGGAAATCTCATGACACATTATTTGTAATAGTATCAGTAACATCTAAGAGTAAGTTGTACAGGTAAATGCCTTTGTGTAATCCAGCTGAAGTCTCAGTCTCCCATGAGAATTCTCTACATGATGCTCACTGTTCTGACATCCATTTATTGTGTTCCATCCTAGGGTCTTACCTACTGTCTGTATTCATGTTAGTTTGTATTTATAGGAGTAGCTGCAACTGGTACCTCTATTATATCTTAGTAGTAAATGAAGGCACCACTCTCTGATATAGAAATTTAACAGAAATCCTGTTTTTGAATTGACAGATCTACTGCATTCTTTGCATATGTCCAACAGCATATTTCAAACAATGGGTTCTCTTTGTATTAAATTACTTTGACAAGTAAATAACTAAATTACTTTGACAAATAAATAACTAAAACTAAAACATTGTTTTCCCATTTGTAACATCGCTGAAATCTGCAAGAATCTGGCATGGTATAACCGATACCATTTTTCTTTTGTAATGCTACATATCATGATGGTGCATCCCACATCAATAACATCTTAGCATCAATAAAACATGATCTTTCCTAGCCATTTCTTAGAGAGAAAAAAATGAAACAAAACAAAATGAACCAAAAAACCTTCCTTGGTAGCAAAATAGTAATGTATTTCAAAGGATATAACTGAACACTTTAAATTGAGTAGTTGTTTAATCTTGCTTAGTCTTAACTATGCAAGTACTATGTATTCCAATACACATAGACACATCAAGTATAGTTAAGGACTCTTCTGATTTTCCTTCAAGACTTCTAACACTCACTTTCACAGGTTTTTAAGAATCAGCCTTGTCATCATTTTCACATTTGTTGTGCCTCTTTTTTTTTTTGATAAGATGGCATACATGCTATTAGTTTGCTGTTTGATGTCAGCCTCAATTCCTTCTCAGAAGGAAACTAAGAACAAAAATCACTTGGATTTTTTTTCTATTTCTTTTACATTCCCAGTCGCCTGAGAGATGGCACAACCATGTATAATAAACTAACTAGATTTTGTAGGTTTCTTTGTAACAAGTAAGAAGTTAGATGTTTTCAGTCAAGGGCCTTAGGACAGTCATACTGTGAATTTAACATAAAAGGCAAAAAGGAACACAAAAAAATTTTAAAAGGAAAACAATGAAGAGCAAAGAGAAAACAAACCCACCAGTAGTATTTTATTTCATGACACAATCTCTTCTGTCATCATGAATTTTAACACATGTACAGTTTGAGAAGAGATAGAAGTACAGAATTCCACCCTTAGCCTCAGTTTCTGTTACTTGTAGTCAATCAGGGCCCAAAAATATTAAATGGAAAATTCCAGAAATAAACAAGTTTTAAATTGTGGGCCGTTTTGAGTAGTGTGAGGAAATCTCATGCTGTCCTGCTCCATCCCACCTGGGATGAATCCATGCTGTCTACACTTCCTGCCTGTTAGTCACTTAATGGCCATCTCGATGATCAGACCAATGGTCACAGCATCTCAGTGCTTGCGTTCAAGTAACCCTTATTGTATTTAATAGTACTTTACTAATAATAACTTTGTTATTAGTGTTGTTAATCTCTTACTGTGTCTAATTCATGAATTAAACTTTATCATATATATTTATGTATAGAAGAAAACATAGTATTGTAGGGTTTGGTACTATCCGTGGTTTCAGGCATCCACTTGGGGTCTTGGAATGTATTCCCCTTGAAAAGGGGGACAACTACTGTAGGTTTATTTCACTTAATCTCATGATTTCTGGGCAGACTGTTAGCCAATGGAAGAAAGAAAAAAGGATTCTTATGTGCAGTACCTGATAGCCCAAATCATCACTAATGAGCAAAAGTAGTTCAAAAACAAAACAAGATTAAAAAGACCTAAAATGTCTTTCTAAAGGGTCTTTGCATTAATGTTCAAATTTCTTCTCCTGAAATACCAACCTGAAGATTGGTTAGTCTTTGACCTTTTATTTAAACTACTGCTTACTAGTTGTTTGAGGTATAATTTTGCCTTAGTCATTTATGAAACAGAAATAATTACCAGAATGTAGAAAGAACCCTAGTGACTAATTTCTTGGAAAACTTCTTGTTATAAAACATTAAAATATATTATTGTCCACATGCTTGAAAAGGAAACCAACCTAGAATCATATTTGTTCAACTCCTCAACAAAACATTTTCTGAAAACCACCTCCTCAAAAGACCAGCATCATTCTCATCAAGTTAACAGCCCATGGAAAGAATTTTATAAGTGAAACGTATGGGAAGACATTAAACATCCTGGAAAAAGTGCCACTTTACTTTAATTAAGGGGAAAGAAATGAAGTCCCAAAGCAAAAACTGTCAATTGCTGTCATCACTTTGTTGCACTGAAAGAGTTCAATTATACCACAAAGAATTTTAGAATGTACTAATTTAATTATAATGCGAAACCTTCCAACTACCTATAGCTTTGCCTAGTTCAGAAATTAGCAAGTTTTCTATTTAAATAAGATTACCTTCCCTATATCCACCAACCACATGCATGGTGTATATGAGTAGTACTATCGACATGTCTTTATTTTCTACTTCTCATTATTTTATCCTTCTCCTTTGTTCTTCCTTTCAAAATTATTTCACATTCTCATTTCAGATATCTGCACCCTTTAGTATAACACTTAGAAATCTGGATAAGATGATGGCCATCATGGAACATAATCACACTCTACATTGATGAATGGCTATTTACAAAATGATTTCTATCATTTAAAAGACAAAACGTCATTGAGCTTTTAAATTCCAAATAAAATACTACAACTTAAATGGCACTGACTAGCTATGAGCTTCTGGAAGTCACCCACCTGGGGCAGCATGCGATTTTCTTCCTCCAGCTGTCTTACTCTTGCCTCCAGCTGCCTAACATAGGACAAGGTTGATTCTAAAATTAAAAAGAAAGAACTCACATTATACACACAGGTCTTGTTTGGTGTACTGTCAGGATATTTCTGGCTTGATTTATTCAAATCAGACAGTGACTATTTAGTCTGTTATTTAAAATGAGAAAAAAAAATATCTCCCAGAAAAATAAGAACAGAAGCCACTGAAACTAAAAACAGTTTTGAACAATTTTACAACGTTAAGAAATATTAGATAAGACACAGACTGGCATATTTACAGGTGGTAGTACACACAATTGACGATTAGTATTAAGATTCTATACAGAACTCTTACAAACCAATAAGAAAACACAAGTAAAGGTATGGAAAATATTTGTCAGAAGTGGAAACACACTAGACAAATAAACCTAAGAGAAGCAGTCCAACATCATTATTAATTAGTAAAATCACGCACACTTAGAACAGGGCAAAACCAGAACTCAAACCTGAATCTAATACCGAAATCCAGTCTCTCCACTACTCTAAGCCCTTTTAGCTATTTTTAATCACTAAGAATTGAGACATTTCAGAGGAAGACTTTTAAAAATATTTCTGAAGTTTGATCCTCTTAAGATGGAACAAATATTTTTCTGAAGTCAAATCGTTTTCCACAAATCTTTCTTAAATGTTTAGTATTTCCTGTTCTGCAATAAAGTGTATTGAGGTCAATTTAAAAAAAAAAAAGTATTAGAGAAAATTATAGGTGGTGAGACTGCAGGCTTTTTGCACACCAACCAGCCTCAGAATAATAGGCATCTTGAAGACAATTATACTCTTTTCTTCTGATTTTGTACATTTTGAGTTGTCAATGAGTTGTTCTACATATACAAGACTATTTTGTAATGTTAACTATAACCAAAATAAACTACAAAGCTACATTAAAAAAAAAAACAGAAAATAAAACAAAATTTTTCAAACATCCAGTTCTCTTTATTTCTCCCAATAAAAATTTCAAGACTTAAGAAAAATATTTGTTCTTTTCACAAACTTACAGACATTGACAGAAAAAACATGAAAGAGCTATTTAGAGTTAGAATGAATTTTGACTGATTTTGGCTGACTGTGACAGAGACCCAAGTTTTTCACACATCTTTAGGTAAACCAGGAGCAGACCTGAAATTGACTATTTTTTTCATTTCTTCACAAGCTCAGGCATGAGCTGAAAGCTCAGAATCATTATCATGCTTAGCTTCTGTTCCATACTGAACTCTAAAGTTTATGGCTTTATGTCAGGAAAAGGGGTCACAGGTGAAGAAAAGTAAAATTTTATTTCTGGGAACAATCTGATAGTAACTCTTCTTCATTAAAGTGAAAATATTCAAGATCATCACATAGTAGCAATTCATTCATCACACAACAACAAAATATTTCAGGTGCAGTGAAAGGTACACAGCAATAGACTTTCTCCAGAGCACACTTCTGTTACATTAGGTAGCTAGTCAAACATGAGCAAGGCAGGAGAGGGCTCCCCGCAAGCCCACCCACCAAGAATGTCAGGCAACCATCACGGGATAGTCAGGTGGTTGTTAACTGTCTCTCTAAAATAATAATTAGTTGCAGTCAACCCAATAGATAGAAAAAACCTGGTACTGTTGATTACCACTTCCCCAGTAAGATCTCTGGAGTTGGGCGAGTGGTCTCAAGCGTGTGTACTAAGAGGAAAAATAGCAGTTTAATTGGTATATGATCTTCCTCTGGAAATGCGAGACGGCTAAGGGAAGAATGCCTCAAGTGAGCGTGCATACATCTTCAGTAAACACACTGCACATGCTCCCCTCCCAAGAGCTAGCAGGCCACTGCACATGTGGACAGTTCATCTCAAGGGAAGAATCAGTGTAGAAGGGACATGAAACCCCAGAAGTACGCCAATGTATAAAACCCAAGTCAAAAGGTCAAACAGTGCACTTGATCTCTCAAGTCACCCACCTGACCCTGACTCTCTTCCAAATGTACTTTACTTCCTTTCATTCCTGCTCTAAAGCTTTTTTTTTTTTTTTTTTTTTTGAGATGGAGTTTCACTGTTGTTGCCCAGGCTGGAGTGCAGTGGCGCGATCTCGGCTCACCACAACCTCCGCCTCCCAGGTTCAAGCGATTCTCCTGCCTCAGCCTCCCTAGCAGTTGGGATTACAGGCATGTGCCACCACGCCTGGCTATTTTTTGTATTTTTAGTAGAGACAGGGTTTCTCCATGTTGGTCAGGCTGGTCTCGAACTCCCGACCTCAAAAGATCCTCCCGCCTCGGCCTCCCAAAGTGCTGGGATTACAGGCATGAGCTACCACGCACAGCCATTCTAAAGCTTTTTAATAAACTTTCACTACTGCTCTAAAACTTGCCTCGGCTTCTTCTTCTGCTTTATGCCCCTCAGTCGAATTAGGGGCAAGAACTGGGGCTGCTGCAGACTCATATGGTTTCGCTACTGGTAACACTTCCATAGTTAATATTGAAGCAGAACAACCTCCTCAGTGTTCATGTTCTTCAGCCTCAGACACACAAAAAGGGCAAGAGGCAATACGGTAGTGCACCTAAGTGTTTGGAGCCCCTAAGGATCCACAGTTAGGATGGATATTGATGCCCTGATCTGAATTTCATCATGGAAACACAATTATTTTATGTGGAAATAGTTTATATGAACCCAATTCTATTTTTATGACCTCTAAAGCAATGAGCTAACACTTTATTTTCTAAAATACATAAGCATCAGTCCTTAATTCACAAATACAACAATTAAGCTCATCTCTGACTAGCTTAGAGCAGGCCTGTTTTCCAAAATAGTGTGCAGAAAGCCCCCATCACTGACATTAACATGATGACCCACAGACCTCACACCATTGGAGACAATTAGCTTTGAGCATTTCTCAAATAAGAAAATAGAAACACAGGTAAAGAAAACTGAAGATATTTGCTAAAGATATCCTCTCATTTTTTTAGCTTAATAAAATCTTAAAACTCTGCTTTATGGACTCTTCCAAAGAGGGGAAAAGTATGCAGCATAAATGAATAGCAAAGTTATTGATTTCATGAGTCTGCTTTACTCTTGCAAATGAATTCAGTGATTTGCAGATCATCAAGATGTGAATGTAGATTGCCTGATTTACACTGTTTTGCAAGCCCTGCTCTTTCCTCTGGAAAAAAAAAACCACTTGATAAGGCCATCCAAGTGAAAAGTTCATCAGCAATATTCTATTTAAACCACACAAAAATAAAGTTATTTTCTTTTTTGTTCACAATTTACACCTTATCTTTATTGCCCCTATGCTGCACTATCTATAAGGCTGTGATACTTAAAGCAGCTGAAAAGACTACACAGATTGAGTCAGGTGAAATTTGAAAAATGCTATTGAACGGAATTTGTTTTAATTCAGTGACTGTCTTCAATCCCTTCATCTATTTCTCTTTTCAAAATCTTTGCAGTTTATATATCTGATGTTTTCACCAAGTCTCTATTTATATTATGAAAGTATTATGTCAGTTCAGGAAAAAAGGGGTAAATTCCTGAGTTTGGAAAATATCCTCTCTCGTTTTTAATGTTGAATTACAATAGATCATGTCCACATCTTTTTTCTAAAGCATTCACTGCAAATATGGGCTGGGACAGGAAGAGACAGAGCATAGTTTTAAACAGGTGAAATAATGAAAAAAAATGGCTTTACAGTGAAGGCAAAGGCAAAAACATTTTAAGTTCATTCATTCAACAAATATTTATTGTGTCACTGATTTGTGTCAGGCACTGTTCTAGGGTTAGGATGAAGATAAAGCCAGTTATTGCAAACCTTAATAACTTTCTCAGAACACACATTCCCTATTAGATTACAGGCATTCCAGAAGGTCCTGTTAATTGTTCCAGGTTCTTAGCCCCTGTTGCAATTATTACTTAACAATTAATGGATACTCAAACAAAAATACACTCTTCCTGGGGGTAAAACACAGGAAGAATATCTGATCTACATGTATAAATAAGAGTACTCAGGCTGTTTTGTTTCATTCAGAAAGAAACTGATTACACCATCCTTTAATGGGAGTGGAGTAGAAAAATATTTTTCTGGAATATACTGTGAGATCAGCACTGGGTCCCCAAGCCCCTATAGGAAAAGCCATTAAAAAAAAAATCCAATCTCCCAACTGTGACATGAGAAAAAAAGAAGAAATATTTGTTTCGTTAAACCCTTGGGATTTTGAGGTTTGTTACTTACCATAGGTCAGCTGAGCCTGACTAGTAGTGCATAACCAATAATTAAATTTTTTAAAATGTAAGCTATATTTTAAATAAAATAGAATAAAATAAAGTATAAGAAACTCAACACTTTCTTAAAAAAAGTCACATCCAAATCCACATCTCAGTCATAGCTAATCATTAGGAAAAATTGATAGAAACTTCTCATGGTGAGAGGAAGAGAAGAAAGAAGCCTTTTGGGTACTGGAACACATTGACCACATCCGCTGCAACCCCCTTCCCCATGCTGCTATTTCCCTTTTTTGTCCTTTTTCAAGGGTGTCAACTATAATATAAGGTGATCTCCCGGTACACTCAGGGAACATGATGGATAGCTGTACCTAAGGGAAGTGTCTAAAACTGGCATTCATTTTATCATAAAGTCATTAATAGAAAGCTGCATTTGAATGTACCATAATTTAAATTGACCATTACATTTTATACCACTGGCTGACAGCTTCATAAAACTGAGATTTCAGAATGCCATTTTTGGCTTTTAGAACTCTGAGAATGAGGCTCCAAAAGAGCATCAAAAAACAGCCAAATTCTCAGCTACAAAGTACATAAATATATAATGCATTAAAAAAGGAGCTGGCTAGGTGGCTCAAGCCTGTAATCCCAGCACTTTGGGAGGCTGAGGCAGGCGGATCACGAGGTCAAGAGGTCGAGATCATCCTGGCCAACATGGTGAAACCCTGTCTCCACTAAAAATACAAAAATTAGCCGGGCATGGTGGCAGCTGCCTGTAATCCCAGCTACTCGGGAGGCTGAGGCAGGAGAATCGCTTGAACCCGGGAGGCGGAGGTTGCAGTGAGCGGAGATCGTGCCACTGCACTCCAGCTTGGGTGACAGAGCCATACTCTGTCTCAAAAAAAAAAGAAAAAAAAAAGGAGCCTATATTCAAGAAACTTATAAGCAGTTGGGAGAAAATAAAAGGGAAAAAACAATAAGGTAATTTGAAATTTAGTACTAAATCCTGTGAAAGGGGAGCAAAGAAAAAAATCAACATTGGCAGTAGTTCTTACGAAGGAGAAACTGAAGCTTAAAATGCATCAATAGAATTTTGATAGGCCAGAGAGATATGAGTGGAGCCACAGATGGACCTGGGCCAGAAGCCAAAAATGATCCTATTGTAAACACAGAAAGAAAGGAATCACATGACGGAAAAGAAAGGGACATGCAGGTACAGGAGGAGAGGCCAGATTATTTCCCACAGTCACCTATCTGGAAAAGCAAATATCAAATCACGATAATCCAGTGGCAATTTGCTTTAAAGCTCCCAAAAGTTATTTTATTTCTCTTTCCACCCTGGGAAACCTATGGGCATCTAGACATTAGAAAAGTAAGGTGAAGCAAACGATATTGATGTGAAAATCCAATGACATCCTCAAGATGTTCTTTGGGTGAATCTCAGGCCCATTTTCAAAGCAGGAACTATTCTTTGAACCTATGTGTAAAAGTTCACAGCATCTGTTGCAAGAAAAACAAATTAAGAAACATGCATAAAAATTCCATTAAATTCCGCATCTTCTAAATTCAAATTTTACTGGTACTACGTACCTTAGAGCTTTTCTAATTCAACTTCTGCCACAATCCTCTGACTTGTTTTGCAAATAAGAGAACTAAAGCTCAGAGTGCGATGAACTTGGTTGCTAACAATGGGGACTAGTCAAATATATTCAAACAATTGTGTTTCATTACTCGAGCACCACATTAATTCTCATATTGGATCTACTAATCATGAAGTAACATACATAGATAAATACTAAATTCTTTTTTTTTCCTCCCTGACTTTAGATATTCTTGATGGATTTACCTTTACAGTAACTTGATATTTCCTCAGACAATATTCTTGACTTGATTTCACTTCAGCTAACCTGCAATGCATTCAATTGTATAAAGGAGCTCTGTTCGTTTTCTCTGTTAGTTTGAAAACACTCTGATAAAAATATGAAACCCTCTTTACTTCCCTTTTGTTTCTAAGGCAGTGTTACCCTACAGAACACCTATCCTTGAAATCACCCACAAATTACACTGATGATTGTATATAAAAGGTTTATTATTGGTATTTGCAACTGTCTAAGGTTTGTCACACCTCTGAGTGGTTTTGATTAGATGAAGTGATGTCATCTCTCCAAAATCTCAGGGCAGAAAATAAAATCTGGTAATGGTCCATTCTGACACAAACTACAGCATTTTTAAGAGTGTATAAGAGGAGGCTGGGCACACTGGCTTGCACCTACAGTCCTAGCACTTTGGGAGGCCAAGGCAGGCAGATCACCTGAGGTCAGGAGTTCGAGATCAGCCTTGACAATATGGTGAAACCCCGTATCTACTAAAAATACAAAAATTAGCCAGGTGTGGTGGTGCATGCCTGTACTCCCGCTACTCGAGAGGCTGAGGCAGGAGAATTGCTTGAACCTGGGAGGTGGAGGTTGCAGTGAGCTGAGACAGTGTCATTGCACTCCAGCCTGGGGGGACAAGAGTGAAACTCCATCTGAAAAAATAAATAAATAAATAAATAAAGAGTGTATATGAGGAAAATTATCTGGAAGACTATAGTGGCCATGAGTTTATAGATGTTAGCTTTTATGTGGCTCTCTAAGAATTAGTCTCTGTGTTGGCTTGACTGTTTATCCCTTTCAAAAATCATGCTGAAATTTAATTGTCATTGTAACAGTATTAAGAGGTGGGACCTTTAAGAGGTGACTAGGCCATGAGGGCTCCACCCTCATGGGTGGGATTGGTGCTCTTATAAAAAGATGAGTTTGGGTCAGGCGCAGTGGCTCACGCCTGTAATCCCAGCACTTTAGCAGGCTGAGGCAGGCGGACCACGAGGTCAGGAGTTTGAGGCTAGCCTGGCCAACATGGTGAAATCCCGTCTCTACTAAAGATACAAAAATTAGCCTGGCGTGGTGGCAGGCACCTGTAATCCCAGCTACTCAGGAGGCTGAGGCAGGAGAATTGATTGATCCTGGGAGGCAGTGGTTGCAGTGGGCCCAGATTGTGCCACTGCACTCCAGCCTGAGTGACAGGGCAAGACTACTTCTCAAAAAAAAAAAAAAAGATGAGTTTGGCCCCCTCTTGCTGTCTTACCTTCAGCCATGACATGATGTACCAAGAAGGCCCTTACTGAATACTAACCCCTTGATCTTGGATTCCTCAGTCTCTAGAACTGTGAGCTAATAAATTTCTGTTCACTATAAATCACCCAGTCTGTGGTATTCTGTTATAGTAGCAAAAAGTGGACTAAGATAGTCTCTCTCAGCAAAAGAGGCCAATAGCCACATGCTTTCCAATTCACAGACAAACTTTTCAATAAACCCCAAGCGCTAAAGGCATGGCTTGCACTCATTCCATATGAATCCCACTATCCACAGGCTTTTTCACATCCCTAAGGAAATTACGTCAGAACTGTGTATTTTAAAAATTATTACTGTTCTGAACAAAGTGTTTTTCTTCTTCAGGCAAGCAAAGGTCAGCCTCCTACTTAGAATCCATATTAACTCCACAAGTATAAGTGATTATATTTCTCACTAAAATTTGACGCTTTTCTTATTTTAAAAAAAATTTGTTGGAACCAGCACTTTCAGATTTGCCTGGATATTTAATTCATACTGCCTTATTAACAGAAATAGAATTTTTAATGGGGCTTTAATTGCCCTAAATAATCTAAAATTGATATCAGATTTTGCCCTAGTCCACTATTTATGAAGCAAATTCTACTCTTCTCAGACCTTTTTCTCTCTGCCTACCCAAAAGAGATGACAGTTAGTTCCTCTTCCCCTCCTCCCATGCAGAAATCCTTTCAGTTTGTCTTTGGCCCAGAGCTCTCTTAGCTCTGTGTCTCTGCCCACACATTCCCCTAGCCAGCAGTACTTTCCTCATTCTTCTCTGCCTAGTCAAATACTCCCTATTCTTCCTTTCATGGAATGAAAAATAGCTTTCCAATAATCAGAAATGCCAAAGATTGGAATATACTGCTTTGTACCATAATGTGCTCTTGTTGTTGGAGGTATTCAGAGAAAGCTCAATGAGATATTGCAAAGCTCTCTACCTGTGTATATTGTTAGGCTGATCCCTTTAATTCTGAAGGCCAATAATTCTACAATATCAAATTTTCCCATTCTGCAAGTCTCTTTCAATTTTCCTTTTCCTCAACTCATCTGTCAGTGAATCACATATTGAATGTCTTGTGATTTCTCTACCTATTTCTCATAGTGTTGTTTTCAATTTTTGCCCAAAAATGCTATATGAAAATATTTCACTAACCCTCAAACACTGACTAGTTGTGTTCCCTGCAGGAGTTTAATGAATATTTGGTAATTTACTTTAATATTACAACACTTCCTCACCCAATAGTTATTATCTGCTATGTGCCAGGTATTGTTCTAGGTCCCGGGGATACAGTAGCAGCCAGGAATGATAAGATCTGGGTGTTTATGGAGCCCACATTCCAGCGGTGAAGACAGGCAGTAAAAACCAAATACAATATTTTATGAAGGTGATTTGTACAACAAAGGCAACAAAACAAACCAGAATACTAGGATAGAGAGATTTGGGGAAGACAGCTACTTCAGGAAGCAGTGTCAGGGAAGAGCTCTCAGAGAACTAAGATCTGCATGTGAAAAAGCCAACTATGCAAAGATCTTGGAGAAGAGGGTTTTAGGCAGAAAGAAAGGTGGTGCTCAGAAGCACTGGCTGGGAAGACCCATATTCTGGAATCTAGTCATGGAGAGGGAAGTGACAGCAGCTTGAGACAGGAATCTGTTTGTCTTGTCACCTTCCTCCACTGCTTAAATTTTTAAAGCCTTGTGCTCTTTTTGGCTGTTTATATTTAGACCTAGTTTTAGACTCTTCAAGTATTATGCTTTCCTTTTAACAAAAATTTTAGAATTATGCGTGGTTCCTCTCTCTCACACCCCACTTCCCTTCCATTGGGAAATTTTTTTTGACCCTACCTCCAAAATATCTTGAGAATCCAACCTCACAATAGTTGCTTACAAAGTACCTGCTTCTATTCTTGCCTCCTCCTCCCCCAGTGCTATTTTCACCCACAGTCTATTCCAAACCCATGGCAGCCAGGGTTTTCTTTCTAAAACGCTAACTCTGATCACATCATTCTTTATTCCAACCCCTGCAGTAGCCTCACCATTTTGCTCCAAATTAAGGCCAAAGTTCTTAAAAAGTCCATCAGGGCCCTGTGTGATCTGACTGTTTTCTCTCTGACTTCATGCCCTCATTCACTCTGCACCAGCCAAAGGGCCTCCTTTCTGTTCCTGAACACCATAGATGTCTTCTTGCCTCATGAACTTTGCCTTAGTTGTACCCTCTTCCTGGAATGCTCTGTCCCCAGTCAAATGTTTGGCTAACTTCCTCACCTCTTACAAGTCTCTGTCCAAATCACAACTTCTCATTGAGACGTGCCCAGTCCTCTCATTTGATCCTGCCACCTGCCACACCTCCAACCCACACTCCTGATCTGCTTTATCCTGCTGTATTACTGTACCAACTTTATTTTCATCAAAAGACTTCAACACCTTCTACCATATACATTAGCTTGTTCATATATTATGTGTATTATATAAGGCCTGTTTCTCCCTACCAAAATGTAAACTCCACATTGTCTATCATGTTAACTGACATAGTTGAGTGCCTAGAATAGTGTTTGGCACAATAAAATTCTATTGAAGGAATCAACCAGTAATGTAGAAGTTCCCCTTAAGGAAATTATTTCATTATACAGACCTATACTTTTCCATTATTTCAGCCAAAACAGGATTTGTATTTAAATAGGGCCTAATTCCAATTCTGTAATGACGTTTGAAAGTCACTCTATGGAACATTAAACTTTGGATGGAAACTTTGGACAGGTTCTCAAATGATGTCAGATTCAACCAGTGGTGGGTAATTTCAATAAAAAGTCTTAAGTGTTCACCAGGCTCAAAAAGGTAGAGCAGGGAGAGAAGAGGGAGAGAGGGGGGAAAAGGGGGGGCAGTGAGAGAGGGGGAGAGAGAGATAGAGAGACAGAGACAGACAGTGAGAGACAGAAAAAGGGAGAAAGAGCACCTGTTGGGGAGTGCTATGGCCTGAGTGTTGTGTCCCTCCAAAATAAGTATGTTGAAACCTAACCTCCAAGGTGAGGGTATTAAGAGACGGAGCCCTTAAGAGATGGCTAACTCATGAGAGAATAGGATTAACACCTTTATAAAAGAGTCTTGAAAGATCCCTTTCCCCTTCATGGCAGGCACTGCCTATGGGCTTCCACCAGACACCAAATCTATGGGTGCCTGCGTCTTGGACTTTCCAACCTTCAAAACTGTGAGCAATAAATTTCTGTTGTTTATAAATTACCCAACCTAAGGTATTCTGTTGTATCAGCCCAAAAGGACTATGAAGGGGTGGCAAGAAGAGAGGGAGACACAGAATTAGGTGTGGGGGGGTCTACACAATATGGACTATTTCTACCACTAAAGTCTTAGAATACAATCTAAATGCCCCTCAGCTAGAAATCTGCTTAATAAGGTTCTCTTTTGGTTACATATGCCCACTGGAAGGAAGTTAAACTTCACCTGAACATTTCACCCCACCCCACCTCCCATCCCACCCCAGTGGAGGGGTACTGACGGAGCAGGAGCAGGCACAGCTGTGTGCAATGCACGGCGGGGCAGGTGTCCGACACTGAATGAGAGGCTCTGCACCGCCAGAGAGCAGCCTGGGGGGCGGGGAGGGGGCAGGGGGCAGCAGTCCATATCAAAAGGGCATTTTTTTGTGAAGAGAAAAATCTAAAATTTTCAAAGGAAGGGAAAAGCAAAGCTATGTGTTGCCCTGTATAATTATAACGAAGGCTGAAAATACTGAATCATTTTCCAGGAAGGGTTTGATGAAAAAATCACGAGTGCTGTTCTTTTACTGCCATGCAAGTGCTGTGTTTTCTGAAACAGCAGTGATTTTTGTTTCATTTAGTATTTTCTATAAAAGAATAAATAAATGAACATCTAAAACTGATGGTTTGCATATAAATCAATTTAGAAACCAGAAAAAAATTATTAGGGTCTATTGTACCAGAAGATAATCACCATAAACGTGTTCAACCCCCCAATCTTCCCAAAGCAAATAGTTTTTTGGGTTTTTTTGTATGAATTTAAAAGGTACAAGTGCAGTTTTGTTACATGGATATATTGCAGAGTGCTAAAGTCTGAGCTTTTAGTGTAAACAACACCCAAATAATGTACATTGTACCCATTAAGTAATTTGTTTTTAATTTAATTTTATTTTAATTCTGGGATACATGTGCAGAACGTGGAGCTTATATAGGTATACAGGTGCCATGGTGGTTTGCTGCACCTATCAACCCATCATACAGGATTTAAGCCTTGCATGCATTAGGTATTCCCATTAAGTAACTTCTTATCACTCATCCCCTCTCCCACCCTCCTATCCTCCCCAGTCTCCAATGTTTATTATTATTCCACACTCTGTCCATGTGTACACATTACTTAGCTCCCACTTCTAAGTGGGAACATGTAGTATTTCCCTTTCTGTTTCTGAGTTATTTCATCAAGATAATGGCCTCCAGTTCCATCCATGTTGCTGCAAAAGACATGATTTCATTCTTTTTTTAAGGCTGAACAGTATTCTATTGTGTCTATACATATACCACATTTCCTTTATTCAATCATCCACTGATAGACACTTAGGTTGATTCCATATCTATGCTATTGTGAAATGTGCTACTATAAATATACAAGTGCAGGTACCTTTTTGATATGATGATCACTTTTCCTTTGGGGAGATACCAAGTAGTGGGAGTACTAGATCAAATGGTAGTTCTATTTTTAGTTCTCTGGGAAATTTCTATACAACTTTCCATAAAAGTTGTACTTATTTACATTCCCACGAACAGTACATAAGTGTTCCCAAAGGAAAGAGTTTTTCAAATGGGGGAAATGGCATTTTGTCACATATGTGCCGTTATTCACCTATTTACTTGTTCCTTGGGAATTGGTACCTGGTGGTTTCAGCTTCCACATCTCTCTATATGTGGGGCTCCATATGGTGAAACTTTGCCTTACAGTTTGTTTCCAAGCTGCCCTATGACTAGCACAGTGCTATGTGCTACTACATGCTGAATAATGGAAGAAAGGAAAGAGGGAGGGAGGGAGGAAGGCCCTCATCATTCTGTTCCCAGATGCTACTGAAAGTTCTGTGCTCCCAGGACAGTTTGAAGCAATTATTCAAGATGCAGTTAAATTTCTACCTATAAAACACACAATACAAGCAATCTAAACAGAAGTCTGGCTCAGAGGAACTTCTTTATGCCCTAAAATTGCCTTCACTTTTACTCTTCCCTTTGAAAGCATCAGCCCCACAAAGGAGGTACCAGGAAGGTGGCAATAAATTGGGCGACAGAACTGGGGACTATACGGAAAATATTTCAATCTCTGAAGAGCTATTTAGCATGAACACCATTATAACAGCTATTCAGGGTTAAAATGTGTCTTACTTTCCACTGTTATGTTGCTGCTGTTATTGTCATTTCCCAGAGAAAATAACTGCCTTTTCCTAATGCCAGAGGATAAAAGTGGATGCCATTTTAATAAATGTAACAACTTTCTTTAATGTATGTGGCCCTCTTTAAGTGCATCTAGTCGGTATTGTCAATGAATGCACAAAAAAGGAAATTGGTAAAAAAAAAAAAAAAAAAAAAAAAAAAAAAAAAAAACAGGAAATCTGTAAAAAACAAATTTTCAAGAAAGTAAACCTATAAATATGTTATTTTCTCTTAGGACAATTAGCGTGCCTTTTTATGCATATTTAAATGCTTTTAAAAGCCCATGTATGGTTGGCTTTTTAGTTATACTCTTCAGAAAAACAAAAATAATTTTTATCAAATTATACAGCAAAGCATCATTAATTTGAACTTAATCAATTGGGAATTCATAAATAAATTCATTGAATTTAGCCAGCATATACTCTGTACTGGCTATGAAACAACAGATGGCAAAACAAACTCATACACAATGTAACAATCGAGAAATGTTCCTTTATATAAGAAAAGCGACATTCTCACATTTTACTTAGCATTATCTATCTGTACAGAAAGTGATTATTTCAAATAAATCCAGTTAGTTTAGATAATCTAAATTAGCACATACTTTGAACTTTTTTGTACGTTGGAATTTTTCATATATTTGTCAACAAATACTTCATAATTACTCTGTTAACATATATTTATTAAGTACTAACTATGTGCTAGGGGTACTCCATTGAAAAATAAGCAAACAAGACTCCTCCTCTCCAGGAACATTCTAGTAGGGAAAACAGGTACATAAATAAGCACACCACTGCCCTGTATGTCCCACCACACCACTTTAGCTTAGATCTACATCATCAGAGAGGATCTGAAGTATCCAAGTTGAGACGTAAATACAAACATTTGGGAATGAGCTTTCCAAGCGGCAAGAATAGAACTTGAGAAGTCCCTAAGATGGCAATGAGCCTGAGAGATTCAGAGAAGAGTAGTGGCTGAAATGCTCAAAGTGAAGTGAAGGAAATGAGGGGGGAAGGGAGAAGACAGGGAGGATGCAGTTGTCTCCTGGAAAGGAGACAAGTCCCAGGGCATCAGTAAACTAACATAAGAAGCTTGGATTGTGTACTGCTTGCAGGAGGAGCCCACTGAGGAAGGGCGGATGTGGTGTACTGTGGCAACATAATCTGATTTGTATTTTAAAATGATCATTCTGGCTGCCTTATGGCACCCAGAGAGAAAAGAAACAAGAATGAGAGAGGGTGACCACTGAGGGAGCTGCTATGGGACTGGACTGAGAGATGACTGTGGGTTGTGCATGAGCCAGGGCAGTGGCGCAGAAAGCAGCCAGATTCAATACGTCTCCAGGAGGTACAGCCAACAAAACATACATATAGTGTAGATGTGACGTATTAAGGGAAAAAAAGAAATCAAAGATCATCGCTATATTTTTGGCATGAACGAATATCATGCAATGGCTTGGAGAAGGAGCACAACTGGGGTTTGAAACCAAAAGTTCTATTTTGTTCATGTTAGGCTTAACATTTCCACCAGACGAGGAAGGGAAGATGCAGAATAAGCAGTTACATAGGTGGGTCTGGAGCTCAGAGAAGAGACCGGCAGTCTTGGTTTAAATGTGAAGTCCACAGCGAAGAGCTGTTGAAAGAAAGTATGAGGATGGAGAAGGGTCTGACGACAGAAGTCAGGTGGAAGAGGCAGAGCTACAAAGCAGAAACCCTTCCCCAGTTCACTTTATCCCCTTGTCCCCAGCCTTGAACCTTAGAAAGCTGAGCAAGTATCCAGCCTCCCTCAATAGACAAAGACACAAATCTCCTATGTCTTCCTCTTGGGTGCATTTCAGCGAGTTCTCTCTATCCTTCACTCTTACCTCTGTTCTATTCCTAAATCCAACCCTCTCGTTGTCTTGCTTATCTCCTGCTGCTTCCTTTTAGCATGCTTTTCTCATTCTTCTTCATCTGGGACCCCTTGCTCTTCAAGGGAGATTTTGGAAAGAGTGAATTATGCACAGTGACAGAGTGTGGGTTCTGTTAGACTTCCTGGATTCAGATGACAGCTCTAATTCTGCCAGTTTGTAACTTTTAGCCAGTGTTTTAACCTCAGTTTCCTCATCGGATAAAGCAGATAATTACAGTATCTTCCTTATTAGATTGTTGTGAAAATCAAGTGAATTAATAATGAAAAGTTCTTAAAGCAAGGACTAGCACAGAGCAGGCATTCAGTAAATATTTCTAAGCAGTCAAAGTGAGAGCCGGGCAATGCTTAAAATCTTTTTTTTTTTTTTTTTTTTTGCCTTACTCTACTCATCCCCAGTAATTACTGAATATTTCTCAGTACTTGGTCCTTGCCTTTCCTGATTTATATCAAGGAGAGACAAAACTCTTTTCAAGCATACAGACATTTTATTCCATGTATTCCTACAGATCTCTATGTTAAGGAACTGGGGCATACTAAGTGGGTGAACTATACCATGCTGAATATTATGTCCACTAAAATTAGAATAACTATACTACTAAGACACCGTAGGCTGGGATATCATTTGTCACAGCTTAAAAATGTTTTAAATGTAACAACCATACTGATTTAGCATAAAAGGCGAATATGACAAATCTTTAGGAGTGATTCTAAATAACTGAACATATACACAAGGAAAGAAGAAGTTATTTTATTGGGGCATTTTAAGGGACCAAAGGCCAAATGCATACTCACCACAGGAAGGGATTTTACCAGTTCAAACAGCTCTAGGTTGGAAGTGTTCCCTTTTAATTCAAACTCTGTGACTGTCCAGGCATATTAGCATCATTGGGTTTTAATTTTCAGTAATCAAACATGAATACTGAGGTAGATGATCTTTCAGACTCTTTAACACCCACAATTCCTGGGTTACAATTGCCATGCATTTTACAATAAACCTTATTAGTGGTTTAACTGCTAAAGGCAGCTAAGATAGTCTTTCTAAAGGCATATGTATATTACGTTGCAATTCTTTCATTTCTTCATTACACAAACATTTGTGGAATATCTACCATGTATAATATAAGGCCTTGGGAAAGCAGAAAATATTTAAGACAATGTTACAATGTTCTGAGAAAAAGAATAAAGCACATCCATGTGATAGATGCATACCAGTTCTGATTATGGTAGTTAAATATCCTTAGCTGAGGCTTGTTTACACTTCAAAACACTCTTCTTTAAAAGTACTTCCTTAAAGATTTCTGTCCTAAACTCTGTATGCTTAAAAACTCTTTGCACTGAAAAAATTACCTGATTAAGAAAAAAAAAAATACTTCACCTTAATCCTAGTGTAAAGGAATATTACTTGATGCCAGTAAGAACAAATTATTGAATGCTTGCAGAAAAACAGTCAAAAAGTTATGAAAGAATGACATACTGTAAGCATTTTATTTGATAAAACTATTCTAACTAAACAATGTGTCAGGGTTTTTTTTAACTTTTGGTAGTAAAATTGAAATAAGAAATAAATCTCAAGAGTCCTCTTAAATCCAGCCAACACAGGGCAACCTAAATGTGTTCACCCAGTTCTTTATGCCTTTTAATTTTAGAAACACTTCACAATAGTGTAGTACGGAGGGAAAGTTCTGGTCAGGAAAATTCCTGCTGACCTTGAAGTTCATTTGGGCCCTTCTAGTTTCACAAGGATTCTATCATTTTTTCTTCACTAAATACTTACTAGGCAACAACAGACTAGTCAATTTGGTCAAGCAAGCAAATCAGATGACACAAAATAATGCTAATGACATTTATTTGATTTATTATGTATCAAGCACTTTGCCTAAAAGCACATGCATTTTTTACATGTATTTAATCTTCACTGCAAAACTAAGAGGCAAATATTCTTATCCCTATCTTACAGATAAAAGATTGACAGCTTAGAGATGTTAAGTAATTCCTCAAAGTCACGTAGGCTGCAATTTCTGGACTTAACCTGAGGTGTGCCCAGCAAAGCCCATTTCTGCAGCATTATAAATAGTCCTCACTGCTGGAGAACATAGATGCTGCAGAGAGACAAAGTAAAGGCCAAATTAAGCAAGTTTCAAAGAATTTGATCGGCACCAAGTCTGCTTGATTTAAACCCTCTTCCTTATCATTATACTTGAATGCAACACTATCCCTTAGTTGATGCATTTGTTGAAGGAATGAAAACCGTATTTTGCCTAAGACACAATAACTGCATTATCTCCTTAATCAGTTCAGTGGTGCCTTTAAATAAACAAGAGTCAGCCAAAGTGAAAATGGCCAGTTTCAGTCAACAACCAAGCCATCCAAAGCAAAGTGCTTGAATCTGCTAAGTCATTAGTGGGCTTAAGAAATACAGATGCCACTCACAATGCAGTGTGCAAAAAATTTCACAAGCTTCTTACAACCCAACTCTCAGAGGTAGACAGAAGACAATGACACACACACAGGCAAAGTGCAGTTTCTTCTGGCTTGTAAATGTCCAATTTTAGTTTTCAAATGAGCTGCTTTCCTGAATCTCTCCTGGATTCTCTCTCTTCTGGAAAACTGAGGAATCCAAGGAAATGTTCACTCTGTTCAATTTAAAGTCATGACTATCAATACTGTTAACATTATTTTTGGTGGATAACAAAAGATAATTTGATGTATGTCACCTACAGAAGTCATCACAGACATTAGAACAGAAATTGCTTATTCCCCACAAATCAAATATCTCAATGCACTAATTTTAAAGTAATCCATCATTGTTCACAAAATCTTATGGGCTCTGAGAATATATATCAATATTTATGCTTCCTGAGAAACCAGGGTAAATACAATAAACTTCTCTACACCTAAAGTAACTATTATCTTCAAATGATGGTTTCTTAGGCTAACTACATCTCCATATAGCCTATAATTATACATATAATGACCAAAAGGAAATTTTAAATTCATGCTGGCCATAAATGAATCTTAAATTTTATTCTGCTTACACTAATTTTCAGATTAATTTTATATTATCACAGAAATATTATGTGCTGTATTATAAAATCGCATTATTAAATCAATAATTTTTATTCACCCTCACAAAATTCAAGAGTGCTTCTTTAACTTTCAAAGAAGATAAAATTGAAAATCTTTAAGTTTTCATGTTAGTTATCTCTTTTCAGTGCATGGTCATTTCAACTGTTTAGAGGAAACTTTAAATTATAAATGAAAAAGAAAAATAACAATAAAAAGTGAAGAAATGAATAGACTATTAAATCCATGTCCCATGGGGAAGGAACTGTGATTTATTCATGTTTGTAAGCCCAAGTCTGACACCAATATTTTAACCCCAAAGAGTCCCTAAACTAAGGTACATGCCTCTTGGACATAAAAATACTACCTTGGAGTATTTAAAGAGTTAAAAATATCTCTGTAAAATTCAAGACTAGGAGAGCTAAAAGAAAATACAAGCAGTTGACTTTATGGAATAAACACAATTGTGAATAATGTAGAAGTGCAAATAACAACAAAAACATTCCCCTTTAGAACACATTAAAATTATTTTTAAAAAGTCTACCTGGTCCCACATGGTTTGAGTGAGACATTCTAATTAAAAATAATAATAATTAAATGATGTTTTAATACACTTGGGAAAATTCCATTCTAATAAGATATCTCAGGGCATGCTAGGTGGAGGGAGACTGGCCAGAGGAGTGTCTCTGCTTGTATTTCTTTAATTAATAATTAACATTATTCTATCCTGTCTCCTCAGGGAGTACATAGCTATAGGGAGCATCACCACTGTATAAAAAGAATTATGAATCTATTTCCCCCTTGACAGAAGACAAAGTCATGCAAGATTTTAAACAATGCAAGAAATGGAGGGTCTGCTAACAGAAATGTCCATAAATACACCCTTCTCCCCTCTGTTGGCAGCTCAGCTTTCTGTCATTAGCACCAATGACCCAACTGGGGCTTCTTTTTGAGGCTACTGGCTTAGCAGATTTACTGAGAAAGGCTTCTTAAATCAACATGTTATACACAGGAATAGGACAAGATGAATTGTTTTTAATTTGCAGTTTGTCCTTAAGAAGTACCCAAGAACATTAAGATGGAACAAAGCAATAGGCCCATGGCCCCTGTAAATTCAAATCCATGAAAAATGATGGACACCTCCTACAATTTATAAACGTATATATCTTTCCATAAACGACCATTTTAATGAACTGATCTATAAAGAGATGAAACTTCGTACCCTAAATAACAATTCACTTGAAATGTATTCTATTTGTTCTCTATGTGGGGGTGACTGAGAAGTCAATTTATCATCAAGAGACACCAACTTTTCATATCCTATCATTGCTATCAAGCTAAGAATTTAGTTCCTAATACATATGGTGAAAAATGAATTGCTTGGAAGGGGTACACATAATAAGTCTGAAGCTACAGCTCCTCAATCCTGTTCTAGTAACAGTCAATCAGCCTTTTGTATAGAGGTTTAGAAAACTACTTGCTTTGTGATAACCAACATGATTGTGTATTTGATAAATTTACAGGGAGGTTTCAGAAGCTCAGCCAAATAATCCACATAAGCTTAGAGAAGGTTCTTCCCCAGGAAGGAGCATCAACAAGGGGGGCATTTGGAACTTTCTCAAACCCACAGGGTCAGAAACTTTCTGTCATTATCTTCTGTTCACTCGAACCTAAATAGCAAGCAGATGATAGAGTAGCACCAAAGTTATCTTGAAAATAAAACCTCCCTGGAGCCCTAACCCATTCACTCTCGCAGTGGTGAGATTCACCCCCATTTCCTATACCTTCAGAAGCTAAATTCTGTCTTGCTATTCAATATCTCTGCAACTGAGTTCTTTTTTTATTTTTTATTTTACTTTAAGTTCTAGAGCACATGTGCACAAAGTGCAGGTTTGTTACATATGTATACATGCGCCATGTTGGTGTGCTGCACCCATTAACTCATCATTTACATTAGGTATATCTCCTAATGCTATCCCTCCCCGCTTCACCCACCCCACAACAGGCCCTGGTGTGTGATGTTCCCCACCCTGTGTCCATGTGTTCTCATTGTTCGATTCCCACCTATGAGTGAGAACATGCGGTATTTGGTTTTCTGTCCTTGCAACAGTTTGCTCATAATGATGGTTTCCAGTTTCATCCATATCCGTATAAAGGACATGAACTCATCCTTTTTTATGGCTGCATAGTATTCCATGGTGTATATGTGCCACATTTCCTTAATCCAGTCTATCATTGATGGACATTTGGGTTGGTTCCAAGTCTATGCTATTGTGAATAGTGCCATAATAAACACACATGTGCATATGTCTTTATAGCAGCATGATTTATAATCCTTTGGGTATATGCCCAGTAATGGGATGGCTGGGTCATATGGTATTTCTAGTTCTAGATCCTTGAGGAATCACCACACTGTCTTGCACAATGGTTGAACTAGTTTACAGTCCCACCAACACTGTAAAAGTGTTCCTATTTCTCCACATCCTCTCCAGCACCTGTTGTCTCCTGACTTTTTAATGATCGCCATTCTAACTGGTGTGAGATGGTATCTCATTGTGGTTTTGGTTTGCATTTCTCTGATGGCCCGTGATGATGAGCATTTTTTCATGTGTCTGTTGGCTGCATAAACATCTTCTTTTGAGAATTGTCTGTTCATATCCATCACCCACTTTTTAATGGGGTTGTTTGATTTTTTCTTGTAAATCTGTTTGAGTTTTTTGTAGATTCTGGATACTAGCCCTTTGTCAGATGAGTAGATTGCAAAAATTTTCTCCCATTCTGTAGGTTGCCTGTTCACTCTGATGGTGGTTTCTTTTGCTGTGAAGAAGCTCTTTAGTTTAATTAGAACCCATTTGTCAATTTGGGCTTTTGCTGCCATTGCTTTTGGTGTTTTAGACATGAAGCCCTTGCCCATGCCTATGGCCTGAATGGTTTTGCCTAGGTTTTCTTCTAGAGTTTTTATGGCTTTAGGTCTAACATTTAAGTCTTTAATCCATCTTGAATTGATTTTTGTATAAGGTGTAAGGAAGGGATCCAGTTTCAGCTTTCTACGTATGGCTAGCCAGTTTTCCCAGCAACATTTATTAAATAGGGAATCCTTTCCCCATTTCTTGTTTTTGTCAGGTTTGTCAAAGACCAGATGGTTGTAGATGTGTGGTATTATTTCTGAGGGCTCTATTCTGTTCCATTGGTCTATATCTCTGTTTTGGTACCAGTACCACGCTGTTTTGGTTACTGTAGCCTTGTAGTATAGTTTGAAGTCAGGTAGCTTGATGCCTCCAGCTTTGTTCTTTTGGCTTAGGATTATCTTGGCAATGCGGGCTCTTTTTTGGTTCCATATGAACTTTAAAGTAGTTTTATCCTATTCTGTGAAGAAAGTCATTGGTAGCATGATGGGGATGGAATTGAATCTAGAAATTACCTTGGGCCATATGGCCATTTTCACAATATTGGTTCTTCGTATCCACGAGCATGGAACGTTCTTCAATTTGTTTGTGTCCTCTTTCATTTCACTGCACAGTGGTTTGTAGTTCTCCTTGAAAACGTCCTTCATATCCCTTGTAAGTTGGATTCCTAGGTATTGTATTCTCTTTGAAGCAATTGTGAATGGGAGTTCCCTCATGATTTGGCTCTCTGTTTGTCTGTTATTAGTGCATAGGAATGCGTGTGATTTTTGCACACTGATTTTGTATCCTGAGACTTTGCTAAAGTTGCTTATCAGCTTAAGGAGATTTTGAGCTGAATGATGGGGTTTTCTAAATATATACAATCACGTCATCTGCAAACAGGGACAATTTGACTTTCTCTTTTCCTAACTGAATACCCTTTATTACCTTCTCCTGCCTGATTGCCCTGACCAGAACTTCCAACACTATGTTGAATAGGAGTGGTGAGAGAGGGCATCCCTGTCTTGTGCCAGTTTTCAAAGGGAATGCTTCCAGTTTTTGCCCATTCAGTATGATATTGGCTGTGGGTTTGTCATAAATAGCTCTTCTTATTTTGAGATACATCCCATCAATACCTAATTTATTGAGAGGTTTTAGCATGAAGGGTTGTTGAATTTTGTCAGAGGCCTTTTCTGCATCTGTTGAGATAATCATGTGGTTTTTGTCTTTGGTTCTGTTTATATGATGGATTACGTTTATTGATTTGCATATGTTGAACCAGCCTTGCATCCCAGGGATGCAGCCCACTTGATCGTGGTGGATAAGCTTTTTGATGTGCTGCTGGATTCGGTTTGCCAGTATTTTATTGAGGATTTTTGCATTGATGTTCATCAGGGATATTGGTCTAAAATTCTCTTTTTTTATTGTGTCTCTGCCAGCCTTTGATATCAGGATGATGTTGGCCTCATAAAATGAATTAGGGAGGATTCCCTCTTTTTCTATTGATTGGAATAGTTTCAGAAGGAATGGAACCAGCTCCTCCTCGTACCTCTGGTAGAATTCAGCTGTGAATCCATCTGGTCCTGGACTTTTTTTGGTTGGTAGGCTATTAATTATTGCCTCAATTTCAGAGCCTGTTATTGGTCTCTTCAGGGATTCAACTTCTTCCTGGTTTAGTCTTGGGAGGGTGTATGTTTCCAGGAATTGATCCATTTCTTCTAGATTTCCTAGTTTATTTGTGTAGAGGTGTTTATAGTATTCTCTGATGGTAGTTTGTATTTCTGTGGGATCGGTGGTGATATCCCCTTTATCATTTTTTATTGCATCTATTTGATTCTTCTCTCTTTTCTTCTTTATTAGTCTTGCTAGTGGTCTATCAATTTTGATGATCTTTTCAAAAAACCAGCTCCTGGATTCATTGATTTTTTTGAAGGGTTTTTTGTGTCTCTATCTCCTTCAGTTCTGCTCTGATCTTAGTTATGTCTTGCCTTCTGCTAGCTTTTGAATGTGTTTGCTCTTGCTTCTCTAGTTCTTTTAATTGCGATGTTAGGGTGTCAATTTTAGATCTCTCCTCCTTTCTCTTGTGGGCATTTAGTGCTATAAATTTCCCTCTACACACTGCTTTAAATGTGTCCCAGAGATTCTGGTATGTTGTGTCTTTGTTCTCATTGGTTTCAAATAACATCTTTATTTCTGCCTTCATTTTGTTATGTACCCAGTAGTCATTCAGGAGCAGGTTGCCCAGTTTCCATGTAGTTGAGCGGTTTTGAGCGAGTTTCTTAATCCTGAGTTCTAGTTTGATTGCCCTGTGGTCTGAGAGACAGTTTGCTATAATTTCTGTTCTTTTACATTTGCAGAGGAGTGCTTTACTTCCAACTATGTGGTCAATTTTGGAATAAGTGTGATGTGGTCTCTGCACTTGAGTTCTAAGCTGACTGCCTAGTCACTTTGTGTGTGGTGCCCAATGAATTCCCCAGTCAATTTCCAAGACATTACACAGGGTCCTGGTCTGTGAAGCTTGGGTCTTTTACTTGACTTCAACTGCTGAAACTGTGAAAAATCAGAGGTCTCTCTTGAGATGATCGCTGGTACATGCATAAAATGCAGATTTACTTGGTATCAATTCCTCATACATTCAGCATCATTGTGGTGTCAGCTATATTCATTGTTTATTTATTCTATTGTCTTTTCCATATGTTATATTTTACTTTTATCAGCATCGAAAAAGAGTGCGAAACATTTATTTACTGCAAAACAGCATTTACCAGGAGTTAGTGAGTTCTTTTTGAAATTTGTTCTGGTGCTTAAGAGTTACCCTGCTTTTGCCAATATTCCCTTTATGCTTCTTTAAGAACCAGCTCCCTGAAAACATCATCTGGAACGTGTTGTGGACTAGCAGTTACAAGCATTGATGTGAGAGCTAGACTGCCTGGGTTTGAATCCTGGCTCCAGTATGTACTCTGTGGACTTGGGCACATTATTAAACTCCTGTGTCTCAGTTTTCCCATTTGAAAAATGGGTTAATAACAGTACCTACACCACAAGGTTGTTGTACAGATTGAGTTGCTATGTGTAAATCACCAAAGACACTGCCTGGTATTTAGCTCCTTCTAGCTATTTATTATTACCTGCTTCCATTCTAGTGCTAACTACAGTTTTGATATCACCACCCACGCCTCACCTCCCCATTTCTGGCTCTCTCCAGCAGAGATGGTTGCTTGCTTTACTCTGCTCCTGCTCCAGCATCATGACGGCAGATCTAGGACTACAATCATCATTGGTGCACAATCTTCTACCTATAGCAGCCCACAGAGTCTTCAGACTAGCTTCCTGTCCTTGGCTTTCATGGGCTGCTGTGTCACTCAGCCATCTATACTTAACACCAGCAAGAAAGAGCAGTTTTCATTGAGTGCACTGACTACTGCATGGAGCACTAAACATAAGCATTGGGAATCTGAAATAGGAGTGAAAACCAGATAAATACAAATGAATACAAAGATTCAAAGGGAAGTGAATGCCTTATGTTTTGGAGTACCATTGAATAAATTACTGTGCACACAAAATTTGTTCAATTAGTGTTAGTAAACTGACTAATTACACTCTAGCTGTTAATAAACATTTAAATTGGGCCAAAAAATTTCATCAATAAACAGTATATTTATGCAATAAATATTTGAATGTTCCAGATGCTGAAATATAATGAAGAATAAATAAACAGGTAATAATAGATAAGAAACAAGAAAATAAACAAAAATATCTTTAAATGTGTTAAGTGCACTGAAGGAATGACTGGATGATCAGACTAGGCCTCTCTGAGAAATGACAATTTAAGTTGTTAACCAATGAATGAATGAAAGCCAGTCGTGGTTAGAGGATGAGCATTCTACACTGAAGCAACAGCTCATGCACAGTCCCTGCAGTGTGGATGAGCTTAGCACGATGAAGGAACTGAAAAACAGCCTTCCTCATTAGGGTCTAGCCTATGAAACAAGCAGAGAAAAGTCACGCAGAGTGTCACAGGCCATCGATGGAAGGACAGCAAAGTATTTTTTAAATAGAGAACACAATAAGAAAGAAGAATATTAAGCATTAAGTCTTATATATGTCTCAAACCAGCTGAGTGATCAAGGTCATGTGATTCCTTCTCGCTCTAAAATTCTATTAAGTCTCTGTAGGAAGTGATGTATTGATAGGCACAGATAAGACAAATTATATTGGCTTTAACATCTTGGACTGACTACACAAAAATGCTAAAAGAAGGTGTTTGAGTAGATGAAATGCATAGCAGACATCAGCCTTTACTACAAGAATAAAGAAGATGGATTGGATTTTGGATACTCTGTGGTAATCTGGTTAGTCAAGGAGAGAGTGAAGCGATCATAGGTAATCCCCCAACTTCATACATAAAGGCTCCTACTTGAGAATGGAGGTGGTGTGGATAGAGAAAATGGGAACTGGAGATTACATAGCTACAGGCAAGCAGATCTGTGAACAACTTAGAGTTTAAAAAATCATTTTCATTCCTTTTTCCAAACCAAAATGGAGACTTCTAAAAGTTTAAACTCCAAAGAATTGTTCAAGGGCATCAATCAAAATAATCTGCAGGGGAGCTTTGAAATAAGCACCCTTTTTCAGTCCTTCCTGAAAAACTAATTTCCAATTATGAATACAATTCCAATATTTCACGTGAAATTTCCTCTTAATGAGGAAAAAGAAGAGTCTGGGGACAGATGAACTGAGTTGCCTGGTTAAGTGTTTAATTTTCCACTTAGCTTTGCAAGACAGGAGAGACAGCCTTAGTTCATACATTAATATTTATGAAAAATGGCATAATGTTTCATTTGGAGAGAAGATCTCAGAGAAATGCTATACTGGCAATGCCAGTGTAGACTTTTGGATCACTCCATACAAGGGTGAGCGTGTTCCTTAATATGGAAAGTAAATCTCCAATTAACTTGGAATTTATTTTGTGGAAAATATATTTACAGATAAATTGCTTAAATTGATAGGAAGGAAATCAGAGTAACTACATATTTTCATTAAAGTTTGCTGCTTGAAAGAAAAATCTGAAATAATTGGTGCCTTCAAGTCTTAGCTGAATTGACTTGGCTATGAGAAATACAGGCATTTAATGATAAGAAAAATCTTCCACTTTGCCATCTTCCATTTACAGGTACATCTCTTATAACATGAGATAACCTTAGTTAATTTCCCAATATTTGAAGCTAAAATTTGCCGTCTGAATAGAAAGTCCACTTTAACAGAAAATAGAAGAAAAATCGTAACTCTGGTTTAGGGATGTTTTTCTAGCCATGTACGATAAGACATACAAAAAGAAAAAGACATTTTTTAAAAATCTCTGTGGCAACTATTGTTAATACTTTCAATTTAATAAATGTCAATGATGCCTGCTTACCATAAAAAAGTGACATTTTGCCATTTTGTGAATAACTGCCTGAAACAGAAGTGGGAATCTTCAGTCACACATTTATTCAGCAAACATTTATGGGCAGTCAACTATGTGTCTGTACAAAAATAAAAATCCTTAAGAGTATACTTCACAGAACATCCCCTTACTAAAAAATTTCTCAACACTTTTTGCTTTATCCTTACAATAGTTATTGTCTCTATTCAACTGATAGGGCAGATGGGATCTAGCTAAGTGAAGTGAGTTTTTTCGAGTACTAAGATCATATCTACACCAGTAAACCACTTCAATGGCTTCAAAAGAATTGACCACTGAGCTTCAAAAATAACCTGTCAATTTTGTAAATAACAAAGTTAAAAATAAAATTCAGGTAAGTCACTGGGCTGATCTTCCTATGCACTCAACAGAAACAAAGTTCCTTTGTGTGGGTCCTCAGACCCAGTATAAAACAGAACATTCTGAGGTTTTGTCTAAATATATACGAGAAAAAAAATCCAAAAAAGATATAAATCAGTTTTCCACTAATATGCAAGAATAGCTTATAGGAGAATTATATAAGCCAACTGTGTCCTGCCAGAGATTAATGGTTAAAAGCTGTCCAAACCAAATTTGACGCTGGAGCAGTTCTTAGGATGATTCCACATGAAAACTGCCAACACTGTATTTGAAATGTATAATCTCAGCTGTTAACTAACCCAAATCTCTTAAGTTATTTTGACAAATATGTCTCAGGGATAACCTTGACACTATGTTCCTTGCCAACATTCCGTCTGAATCCAGGTGTCCCAACACCAAGCTGACCCCCTAGTGTAGCTGGCCTACAGAATTTCACCAAGCTGGGAAAATTCTGACTTCAAACTAAGGAGGGAAGTTGGGATTAGTTGCTCCCTCAGTTATTCTAGTTACATACATTCATTCTCACAGGTCCTATACACCTACTGCCTGCCTCAAAGAGGGAATTCTCACTGTTATCCATAATATGAAATACACTGCCTAGCACACAGCAGAGTCTCAAATATATTTTATTTGAGAAGGTTTGAGTTGCTTGTGTGCATTCATCCATCTAAACACTACCCCTTTGCAAAATTTACAAATCCCACCTATCTTTCAAGAGCTGGCCCTTATAGCCTTCTATTTTGGCAGAGCCCCCACTGACTAAATCAGCCTGTAAGGGTCAGTCCCATCTCTGAATTCATACCATACTTTCCCTTAACTCAATGGAATAGCATACAGATTAACACTGAATCCCATTCTAATTGATTCCATATGGTGGTCTTACCTACTCAGTTACATGCATTACTTGAGGGCATTTGGTTGATATCCCACAGTGTCTGGCACAATATTACTCTCATGGTAAAAACTGCATAAGTATTTGCTATATGAGTAAATATTTTCAGTCTCAAAATTATTACCATAACTTGATTCAACCACTAAAAAAGTCACTTTTATTTGCACCAAGTTTATTTTATAAAATCTTCCCATTCCCAAAAGGCCGCTGGGAGGGGGAGAAAAAGTGAGCTGTTCTTTAGTTATTTATCCAAAATGCAGGCTGGCAAAACAATTAGTATTTTTTCCTACTCTTGATAACAAAATGTTTAAACAGATTGTATGTAAGGAATTACCTCAGTCAATCTCATGGGAGGTGGAATGGGATGGGCAGAATTCCAAAAGTTTATTTGTAAATGAGTTGTTTTGAAAGAGGAAAACACATTCCCAGTGGCGAAAATAATGCTCTGTGTGGAGGTTAGTTTTCCAGAAGCCTGTGACAGATGAAGCAAAGGGGGATGGGAGAAAGAGAAGTTCTTCTAGTAAGGCAATAGAAGCAGATGTGGGGAGGCTGACTTTAAGACCAACACCAGGCTCTGGGAAGGGAAGGAGGAACAATTACAGTCTCTATCCACACCCTTTCCTCTAAGTGATGATCTGGGAACCAGGGACCAAGTGCTCCAGTGCTGGGAGACAGGAAACTCCAAACAGCAGTAGCGTCTATACTATAACTCTCAAGAGGAAAAGGAGAAGGAAATACCAAGTTAAAGTTGTGGGAAGGGAAGGAACCTTCTGTGGCCACCCAACTGGACAGCCTCATAAATGCATGGGTATGCTCAAATGGCAGGCATCTGAGAAATCAGTGAGTCCAGTCTTTTCCAAGCTATATCCCTTCCAATTCCAGAATCCCTCACCAAATCAACAAACTGGGGGAAGAAATATTCCATGGTCAATCAGTTTCAGAATTGCTAGACTAAATAAAATCATAGTGCATCACTGGCTATTTTAAGATAATAATGAGCATTATAAATCTTGGCAATGATGGGGGAACATACACTATGCAGCACTTCCAAAACTATTTTAACACAAAATGCTTTTTGGAAAGGAAAACTCTACACAAGTCATACGTTGCAAAATACACATCAACCCACCCTTCTCATTCCACAGATGAGGAAACTGAGGCCTAGAGAAGCAAAAAGAAAAAAAAACTTCCTAAAGATTGCAGGCTTAGTATGTGGAAGAGCAGGGATCAGAAGTCAAAATTTTCTACTCTAGGTCAGTACTATCTCTTCTATACCATCACACATCTGACCCCAGCTCTGACCACAGGTTCAATTCTGCTCGGCAGCTATGCCTTAGCCCTGCCTTCTCTCCTGACAATCCTGAGGCTCTGCTTCCACCCTCCCACTATGGCTAAGTGCCCGAGCTCATTCAAGACTGCCCTTGATTCCCGTCCCTGGTCTTTTCTGCTTCATACTAGATCCAATCTCAACTCCTAGCTCACCTGATCTCTGCAGATTACCTGCTTCCAGAATCCCCCTGACAACATGGCTGATCACCAGCCAAAACTTCACCTGTTGCCCTTAATGGACCTCCTCAATGCTTATTACCTGCTTACAACAACACTATCTCCTGGTATCACATGCTCCCTGAACAGGCCAGGCCCAGCCCTGACTATCTGACTAGAATGCCTCTTATAGCTTCTGCTGAGTCCAACCAAAGTCCCTGCCCTCCCTGTGAGTACCTGGTACTCCTGTCCCACCCCTGTTCCTTCTGCTGCCCACTGAGCTATTTGTTGCCACAGGCAACATCATGTTCCAGTGCCTGTAGGACAACCTTCTGCCACAGCAAGTATCCATGGCAACCAGATGGGGCTGGCAAATAGAAGTAAAGTCCATAGGCAATTCCCCAAAGTTAGCTTAGCCAATAGATGATTTATTAGAGCAGTAAACGTTTGGCAAAACTGAGTATACAGGGCTCCAAATCCTCTTTGTTGCACCATGGTCTGCTGTGCAATGACATGGCTTAAAGCAAGAGCCTGGAAAAAGAGAGGGAAGCCCCAAGCTTGACTGGCCTAAAATCAAAAATACTGCCCAGAGAATGAAACAAATGAAGGTAGGATGCAAATCAAGGTATCAGTTCTCCTTATTCCCACTTCAGATTCAATTACCTTTACTGAAGGCCTACAATGTGCCAGGTACTATAAGGACTATAAAAAATAGTTAATACTGCTTTATAATTATGAAGAGATATAGCACACATGAGATTTGCAGGCTAGTTGGGAAAATAAAACTGAAATGTATAAAAATATAAATATTACTTAAAGTCTTACATAAAGACTGTTAAGATAAAAATAGAAGACAGAGTTACAACAAAAAAGAACATGACTAGTCGCCAACTGGATTGTACAAAGAGTAACAGCCATGAATGTTCAGGACAATATAATTCCTCATCTATAAACATAATAAAAGACTTTCAGGATGCAAATGGCAACAAGTTCATCTAATGCATCATCTATCCTTCCATAAAATGAGCATGTTAAGACCTAACCAATGTGAGAATTAAATAAGACAATGCATATAGAAGCATTTTTAAAAGCATAAAGTGCTCTCTACAAACTTAGTTATCCTGCTTTTGTATGTCAGGATTACAGACTAACAAGTCTATCCTTGATATATAAAACTACAAATATATCAAATCAGTTTTAAGACTTATAAATAGTCAGATTTGCAAAATTAGAGATCAATTTACTTAGTACATAATAGGTGCTGAATAACTACCAAATAAACGAATGTTAAAATGAAAGTGCTGCACAGAAAGTATTTCCTTTTTGCCAAGTTAAAATCCTTAAAAATCATTTTATAAAGTAGATGTTCAAAAACCAATCATGTCTTCCTACTGGGACTGTACTGTAATTGGGTGTTTGTTTCTGACCAAGGATTTGGTATTATAGGTATCACAGATATGGTCTATAATGTCATAAAAGCAAAAATAAAATCATCATAAATCTTTATAATCATGTAAAATAGTAAAGTTATTCTTCAAAACCTGTATTATGGGCAGCATACATGGTACATACTGATTATACAAAGGGCCCTAATGCATCATAAATTGTAACTACATCACAAAATACAACTTTATTACATTATACATTCAAACCTAAACTTCTGGAGTCACTATAATAAACATTAAACATTTAATTATTAATGATTTCTTGCATTTTTAGCACTGTCTCCAGGCGTTCCAACACAGTCCACGAAATTCTAATTTAGGTCACATTTTCTCCTCATAAATTTAGAGTGCAAACAGGCACTCTAAATCATTCCATAAACTGAGAGCTGCCCTCAGGGTGCTTGATAGATGTTTGCTATAATTAATCATAGTGACAGTCACGTTCCTACACCTCAAAAATTAGTCTGCAAGTTACCATTCACTCAGTGCTTCTCTTAATCATTTTTTCTTATCCTTCGCTTCATTCAAAGATAGAAAAGCAGATGCCCAATATCACAGCCAAACAGTGCCACTCAGAAGCAAGTGCCCCGACCGTCCTTATCTACTGTAGCCTCCAGTTTATCTGAGCTTCCAAGGACAGCTGGGCTTCTCAAACTTTAATATGCACTCAAATCACCTGTGGATCTTGTTAAAATGTGATGCTGGTTCAGGAGGTTTGTGCTGGGATGTAACTCCTGCTGCTGCTTTTCCATGGACAACCCTTTGAGGAGCAGAAATAGAGCGCTATGAAACCCTGAATCCCTGCACCGATGGTGAGACCTTGAGCAAGTTACACAGCCTTTAGAGCAGGTTTTACATCTGCAAAAGGGAAATTATATTGCTACATTTGGGAGAATTATTATAAAGATAAATTAAACTCATAGGAAAGCTCTTAGCACAGTGCCTGAACATGCGGTTAGATTCTCACCAAATGTTAGTTACTTTCTCTCCACTGCAAAGTCATATAGCATTAGGAGATATACCTAATGCTAAATGATGAGTTAATGGGTGCAGCACACCAACATGGCACATGTATACATATGTAACAAACCTGCACATTGTGCACATGTACCCTAAAACTTAAAGTATAATAATAATAAAATTAAAAAAAAAAACAACGATGAACAGATCATTAGCTTAAGCTTTTAAAAGCAGTCTCAAAACAACTCTCACCAGAATAGCTAAAAAACAGCAAAAGCCAAAATCCTATGTTTGAGCATTGATGGAAACTGTCAAATAAACAGGTTGAGGCATTGAGACCTGAGGAATGTCATGAATTATGCAATGTTAATGAGGGCAGGAGTGAAATAGGAAGCAGTGGAAGAGGAAGGCTGCTCCAAATAATTGACTATAGAATTTGAGACATGAAAGTGTGTGTATTTCCCTCTCTGTCAGCCTTATCACCAGGGAACCAAGAATTCTAAAGAATTTTTAAAACTGGAACAAAATAGGAATCAAAATCATTATTTCTAGCTTATGTCATAAGTCAAAACACCAGCATGTAGAAATAATATATCCATGGAAAGGTCTAAGGACACTGTCGTTGAACTTAGGGGAAATGTGAATATCAAAAGTCCCGTTATATATTTTCTCCCCAAAAGTCACCAGCATTGCAAGGACTAAGAGTTCCTTGACGATCTGAATTCAAGAGAGACAAATGGCTCAAGCTCTGGGAAAAACAGGACTTTAGCCAGTCTTCATGGTTTCTGTCAATTCACATCTACCAAACTGAAGTGGAAAATAGATGGAACTAATCCTCACTTTCTGAAAAGCACGTGCAGTTGTCCATATAACCTTGCTTCCATCTAGCATCCTGGAAAAATTCTGGGTGCTTTTTTTTCTTAGCAATACACAGTTCTGTAGACCTTATAGTTAGATGTCAGGGGAACAGCTCTGATAACAGAAATCCCATTTTTCTTTTGTCATCTGTGGGGCACATCTTTAAATGGGCATTCTCAAATGCTGAAGTAGATCAAATTTTTTGTTGTCATTTGCTTGACTGGTCTGGTCTGGACTGACTTGGTTCCTAATATATAATCATCACTGTGGTCCAAACTTGCTTAGGCCACGTTATAAGTTGGAATAAAGGAAAGCCATTTTGTCTAAAAAGAATTATTTTGAGATGTCTTTCACATCCAAGATAAACACTGGGATTTCTCGTTGCTTCTGGTAGCTGCAATTGACAGGACTGAGTACCAGAAAACTAAATTCCTGCAAGAATATGAGCTAACCTCCTCAGTATCCTAAGCTGGTCCTGTCAGTCAAAAACTGTGTCCTGTATTAGGGTACAGCTCTCCTACCTAGACTTCTCCCTTGTCAAAATAAGCCAGCATCCACTCAGCAATCAGTTGCATCAGTCAACACGGTCATGACATTTTACCCGAGGTATGTCCCTGTCTCACTGTAAACTCTAAGTGTAGGTTAAACAGTGGTTAAAAATGGAGACAGAAAATGGCTCTACTCCTGTCACAAGTTGGACGAGACCTGGAGAAAGTAATTTATTTAGGTCTTTAGTTCCTCACATCTCATATGAAACAAACAGGTAAAAGGTGATGGTGTGAATAGTGTGACTCCTCCAGGGCCTTGTGCAAATATATAAAGGGCAAAGAACTGAAGGACAAGGAAAAATAATATTTTTCTCTCTCGGGCAAAGTGCACATTATATTATAATCACTTAAGATGCAGCCATAAAAAGTCTGTACATGAAGCTGACATTCAGCCAACCATGCTGTGATGCAGCCAGCCTCAAACCCCGCTGCCAAAACCCCAGAGCATTCTCAGAAGCATTCAAATGTTCAGCACGCATCCTTTTAGGTCCTCAGCACAATAGTCAAAGTCAATGACAACCTTTTACATTGGGATACACAGTAGCTTCTTTAATTTGTTCAAAAACCTTCCTAAAACTGTTTTCTAAATGTGACTGTCCAAAGATGAACCATTACCAAGGAGATTCCTCTTCCCCAGTTTACTTATCTGTCCTAGTTCATCCAACTGCCCCAAACTTTATTTGTAAAATCACTTTTACTGTTCACCAAACACTATACACAATCTTGTCACATCTCACTTAGGATCACCATTATTTTCTGAGCAATATCTTACATTGTGACATTAAATAAACTATCACTATACCATAAAATATTTTAGAAACCTAGTCTGTAATGCCAACTAGGGTCTGTGAAGCTTTTATTATAATTAAGCTGGCAGTGTCGTTTAATGTGCTGCAAGCTGAAGTCCATAAAACACATCTGCAAAACTGCTACGATCTGTGTAGCTGCTTATTAGATTTAAGAGCTAGGTCTGATGTCAAGAAATCTAATTTGAACCATCACAGAAAGGTCTCATATCATAAATTGATTATTTTCTCCTTGAACAAGAAATACAACTCTGAAATTTTACTCTATAGATGGCTATCCTTCTTATAAAAAGTTTAATTCTTTTACATAGAAATAATGCCCATGTTCCCATATCATATTTAACTCTCAGTACAGCAGAACTATCGTATTAATAATGGTACTTTCCTATTATTTCTATAGAGAGCACAATCCCAAGTCCCAGTTGGAGAATTTTGAAAGCTGAGGAACCCACAGATCTCCCTTCCTCCAAAACAGAGTTCTGGCTTCTAGAAGAGCTGCCCCTCACTTTTCCCAGCTCACTCTTGACAAAAGGTGCAACTGTCACCACCTTCTCTTCTCTTCATCCAACAGCCTGGAATTTACACGGCCAGGATTCAATCCTAAGTCTATGTGACTCCAAAGCCAGTCACACTGTCTCTACTACAGCGCAGCGGTCAATGAGAAAGTGTATGCAGCAGATTTGCCAAACAAGTCGGGCCAGGTGGACTTTCAATACATATGAGTTCTCTTTCTTCCTCCTCATAAACAAATGCCATTTGGGATGAAGTTTCCTCTTAAATTTCAGGGAATGTCAGTATCAAGTAGAAACAGAACCTTCCAACAAATATTCAAGGTAGGTATTATTAGGTCCTATTTTTCAGTTGAGGAAAACCAAAGTTCATAGAAATTGTGTTGTTGTTGTTGTTGTTGTTTTCCATGTCTGCCTACCTAGAAGGCAACAGAGCCAGATTTTGAACTTCAGCTTTTCTGAATCCAAAAGAAAGCTCATCTTGCCACCTCCAACATTAAGTTGATCTTCTAAGTTCAGCAGCTTCCGAAATAAAACCCACTCCCTCAAATGTACACTGAATGGGTCCAGACCTCTTGGATAAATTTGTTGATGAACGTTCCCCCAACACTGTCTTCCATTTTAGTCCCAGATAGTTTGAGTGGGAGGAAGGGAGGAGTTGTCTCTATAGAGGGACAGACAGCTCAAAGATTGGGTTTCAGAACAGAAATATTTTGATAAATATGAAATGTCTTGTTTGACAAAATGTCTGAAAATGGTGAACTATACTGGCTTCTCACAACTAGTTTGAGGAAGTGTCAAGAGTTGCCTGAAATGATTTGGTACTGTCAAACCACCAAGTCTCCAGATATTCTCCTTAAAGGTCGACTCATGCTATGAGAGTAGAAATAGGAAGCTATTGGGGTAAACTTCAGAATTAGAGTGACACATGTAAAACACACTTCCTAAAGACACTTAAGTGTTTACTGTTGAAAATATGTCATCATAGCTGTGTTCAGAAAGGCTTTTCTTTTCTGCATTCTCATGCATAGCCTAGCTCACTTTAAATGGCAAAAGACACTGCTCGAAGCACTCAGTCCTATCTATGAGTTACATCCACTTGTCCATACCCACCATCTTGCCTTGCTAAGTAAAATGACATAGCATGAGAAAAAGACACGAATTTTAAAGCCATGGAGACATGCGTTTTAATCCTGGTGTTTTCAATTTTCAGGTACATTACTTTGGGCAGTCTTTAATCTCCCTGAGCCTCAGTTTCCTCACCTGTAAAATAAAGATAAGAATACTTTGTGGAATTACTATAAGGATAAGAAATAACCAAATTAAATAACTGCCACAAAATAAACATTCAATTAATGATATGCTAATTATGACATCAATAAAGAAGAGCAAACCCCGTTTTCATGTGTCAGTGTCACTCAATATGCAAAAAAGAACCATTTACTCAACACAAACTTATTAGTTCATTAAATTTCTACACTACCTCCTATCACTGGGTTAGGCACTAGTGTTACTCCTGCCAATGTAGGGAGACTGCAAGGAGCCTGATTACAACGACCTGATTGTACTGGGACTTGAACACAGTTTTTTTTTAAAAAAAGCATATATGATAATTTCTGCACTCTAGAATTAATATATTTCATCATGACAAACTTTATCTATCATTTTTTTCTTGCTTTGCATACTTAAAAGTAGATAATCCCCCTAACTGATAAGACTGTATCGTGCAATAAAATGACAAATGAGTTTGAAAGCAGTTTATTTATAAGAAACAATTTCTATATAAAGGCTTGTTTCTATTCAAAGCATAGGAACTAAATTATAAAGATAATCCCCTAGATTTTTCTGATTTGGGCTGTAGTTCCTGAATTTTTATAAAATGCTTAATCCTCTCTCTATCTAAAATTAGTAGAGGGTCACATAAATTTTGGATGAAGCAAAACCACTATACTAAATTTTCAATCAATCATTCCAAAATGGGCTAAAATTTCCTGAACTAGAAAAAATGTCTTCCTAACATGGTAACAGCTAGAAAAAAAAAATTAACTCATATCAGACAATAACCTCATCAAGTCTGGCAGTATCCTACTAGATTGTCTCGTCTGACAGGATAAGGCACTGCATCTTTCTCACTGCTGTAACTCAACATCTAGCTTAGGTCTGGCACATAGTAGGGGTTCAACAAACAGCTATTGCCCAGCCAAGTGATAGAAAAATTACTTGAAATTTTAGTATACCTAGAAGATCTCCAGTTGCAAATAGTATGGGTCGTTAATTGCATGAGGCTACTGTATACAGTAATAAAGCATTTATAATTTATACTCATATGACATAACTGCTTATACAACCATACATCCAAATGTCATTAATTGAGAAACCCATTTTTTTCTGACATTTGGATGTAAGGTTGTATAAGTAGTTATATAATGTGAGTTAAAATTTGAATATTTCTATCAAGCATTTTCAAGCCAACTCAAAAATAACTGTTGTTTAAAAAGATCTGGGCCAGGCACAGCGGCTTACACCTGTAATCTCAGCACTTTGGGAGGCCAACGCAGGTGGACCACCTGAGGTCAGGAGTTCAAGACCAGCCTGGCCAACATGGTGAAACCCAGTCTCTTAAAAATACAAAAATTAGCTGGGTGTGGTGGCAGGCACTTGTAATCGCAGCTACTTGGGAGGTTGAGGCAGGAGAATCGCTTGAACCCGGGAGGCGGAGGTTGTACTGAGCTGAGATTGCACCATTGCACTCCAGCCTGGGCGACAAGAGTGAGACTCCATCTCAAAAAAAAGGATCTCATACACTGGAAGTTTCGCAAAACTTACAGTAAAAGGAGAGACAGGCACAGCCTTCCTGTTATATTCATCACTGTAGCCATTACACTTAGCATAGTTCTGGCACTTAGCAAGACTTAATATGATGTTTGTCAAGGCAATGAAAGAAGGAAGAGAGCAAGAGACAAGAGAATCACTTCTTGGAGTGAATTTATAGTTCAATTAAAAAGAAATGTGTCAATCTTCACATTGTCACTTTGGGTACCTAATGTCATTATCTGGGAAGCAGGAGAACTTGATTATTAAATCAGCAATGCTGATTACACAATCAGAAGTAAGCTGTACTGAAATAAATTCGGCAATTAATCAAAGCCAATGTGTCCACTTGTAAATATCAATATTGAATTTTAAGCATATAAACCAGCCAATCAATTAAACCCAAGACCATGACTTTAATCAGTGAATGCTGAGATACAATTTGCTGGATTCTGCCTGTAATGAAACTTGTGTCATTGTTGAAACCTAATCCTGCTGCCTGTGAGGCAAATATACAAATTATAGAATCTCTTGAAAACATTATTATCTATGGGCTGTGCCCTTGCCTTCTGAATAACTCTGGCAGTAGACGTTGCATACTACAGAGTACTCTTCCAACTTCCAATTCTATAAACACAGAGGGATTACAGCGTTTAACAGCACAGGAACCAAAGACTGCCCAAGTTCAAATCTCCACTTTATGTCTTACTAGCTGTTTGACCTGGGGCAGGTTACTTAACCTCTCTGTGCTTCATTGTACTCATCAGTAAAATGGGGATAATAAATAATACTTACCTCACATGCTTGTTGGAAGATCAAATAAGTTTATTCTGTATTTGCTAAACTAACTGTTCAGTAAACACTAGCCATTACTAGTAAACATATGTATTCATCTCCATTCCTTAAAATGATCATGTACCAGTAGTATAATGTCCTAAATATAATCATGACCACCATTATACTTTTTTTTATTTTCCTAACTATCCTGAGGATAATATCCTATATTTTTTTTTTTTTGAGGCAGAGTCTTGCTCTGTCGCCCAGGCTGGAGTGCAGTGGTACAATCTAGGCTCACTGCAACCTCTGCCTCCTGGGTTCAAGCGATTCTCTTCTCTCAGCCTCCTGAATAGCTGGGACTAAAAGTGCACACCACCACGCCCAGGTTTTTTTTTTTTTGTTTTTTTGTTTGTTTGTTTGTTTGTTTTTTGTTTTTTGTTTTTTTTAGTTATATTTAGTAGAGATGGGGTTTTGCCATGTTGGCCAGGCTGGTCTCAAACTCCTGACCTCAGGTGATCCGCCCGCCCTGGCCCCCCAAAGTGCTGGGATTGCAGGTGTGAGCCGCTGCGCCCAGCCTTATCCCATACAGTTTTATTGTAAGCATATTAAAAGGAGTATACTGAGGTCAGATATTTTCTTTAAAATATTTGAGAATCTATCTCCCAGATTCCCCCATGGATAAAAGTTTAGAGAGTGAGCAGTAGGTGAACCCTATTTTTTGTACATTTACTATTTCAATATTTCTCAGTTTTACTTTCATCACAATGTTACTGTGGGTGGTCCCGTCCCACAGTTCTTCTCACAATTAGAATTTCCTATTCTGCCACCAGCACAGATGCAAATAAAGTCACTTAGTCTCATAATTAAGTCTACTTGGCCCGGTGAACTCTCACATAAATACACCAGTCCTAGAGAAAATTTTTGATGCCACTGCACAAAAGTCAAATTTTTATGCATATCATATTCCTCAGATTTAAAATTCTACTCAGAATACATTTTCAGTGCCATTTTTCAGTATGAGAGCGTTTCAGAAACATTATTTGTTTGAAATGCCAGTTCTATGAATTCTCCATTAAGTCAAGAAAGCCCAAATAACAGGTGCTATATCCAATTAAAACTACACAGTCAAAGGTCAGCTTTATGGTAAGTGGCATTAGTCATGAAATGGCTTTGGATTTTAGTTAACATGCCATATTTCCTAATAAGAATGCACTTACAACAGCCTCATTCATAGAAATGCAAGGAACAATCACAGTTGCCACCTAACTGAAATAACTTATGTAACTACTTTCATTTGATGAAAATCACTAGGACATAGAGATCCAACATCCACTCTTCCATCATTTTGTTCCAATCCTTATCTCTTTCACAGATCCTTCTGGCTTTACCTGAGATGACGAACTTCATCAGCTTTTAGTGTCAGTTTCCCAAAATGCTCATGCAGACCGTTAGCTCCTAACCAATCTCCATTAGGAGACACTCACATCAACCAACATATTGCTTGTCCATTAACGATGCCAGAACATAACAGTCTAAAGCACCCCTTACACTTGTCAAAAAATTGATCCTTGCATTCACCAAGGACATTTCAAAACCTTTAAGGATATGGTAATTTTCTACTCTCAATTTAAAAAAAAGTATCTGGTAGTTTCTCATCTGCACTATACACACAGCAACCATTCAGAGAGAAAAAATAATAATTATTTAGTTCTCATAAGGACCAATTCCTCATTCATTCTCCCAAGTCTTCCACTCACAGCAATTACTATCCTTAGAATCCCTTTCCTGCTTGGTGCCCTTTAGGAAATGCCTACTTATTCTACCAGGTTCAGGGTTCAAATCAAGTTCTTTTCTACCTGTGACAGTCCTTGCTCATCTTCCTCTATTTCTTCATGCAATAAATACTGATTAAGCACTTACTCTGTGCTGTACTGTGCCAGGAATTGAGAATACAAGAGAGAGAAAAATAACAACTGATGCCCCCTGGGTTCTCATCGTCCAGTATTATGTCTTTTTGACTATTTTTAGTTTTAACCACAAAATTATACACACTCTTTCATTTAATATTACAACATAACTATTTACTACGTGCCATGACTGGGGAGATACAGAGGAAAGAGACATAACCCCAGGCCTCAAAAAGCGCACTCCGAATCAAGTACAGCACATAGACAAAAAAGTCAACGAAGAATTGCAATGCAGCGAGATGGGTTTGTACAAGATTCTCTCTGGGATGAGGATGAGGTCGGAGAAATCAGCAAGTCCATTCAAAGAAGCCACAGTGTATAAAGAGAAGAAGCACTGGCTTGGGGATCCAGAAACCTGGCTCGACCTGCTTCATGGAGCCAGGCATGACACTGAGCACACCACAGGACTTAACTTCCCCCCACTTGGTTTTCACAGCTAAAATGCCCTAATGAAGCCTGTTGATTTGTCTCACAGGGTTAGTATGTACATCAAATGAGATGAAAAAGAAGAAATTGTGATTTACTAAGGACCCATTCTCAATTCTTACACTAGACTGGCTACAGAGACGGAAATAAAAGAAAGGTGAAAAAGACCTTATGTAACATATACAAATAAATGGAACACATACACACAGTGACTCTGACTTAGATATTTGTAAAAATGAGCTTTATGTTGAAATCACAACATGAGACTAAGATAAAGAAAGGTGACTTTGTATTGTAAAGATGGTGTCTGGACAGACTAATTTCTATCCATATCTCTTGTGCTAAACAAATAGTATAAAACCAAATACATTTTTCCCAAATGGTTTTCCTCCTATAATCACGTGGGTTCATTTTTCTGTTCCAAAATTCTAGAGATCATGCCCATTTCTGTCTTTGTCAGGTGACAGAAAAATAATTCATGTGGGCCTAATATTACATGTTACCTTCAGTGGCTTTCCCCTTGAGCTCAATTCCAGTAAATTTATCTCTCAGAAGCCCCTCATTACAGCTTGATTCATCTTACCCATACAAATATCTCCTTCTACTACCCTAGGCGAAACAAATCTTTCACTTTAATGAGGCAGATCTATTTATGATCTTATTTTTTTTATTTATTTATTATTCTTATTTTTTGAAGATGGAGTCTCACTCTGTCATCTAGGCTGCAGTGCAATGGCATGATCTCAGCTCACTGCAACCTCTGCCTCCCAGGTTCAAGTAATTCTCCTGCCTCAGCCTCCCGATTAGCTGGGATTACAGGCGCCCACCACCAGGCCCGGGTAATTTTTGTATTTTTAGTAGAGATGGGATTTCACCTTGTTGGCCAGGCTGGTCTCCAACTCCTGACCTCAAGTGATACACCTGCCTCGGCCTCCCAAAGAGCTGGGATTACAGGCGTGAGCCACTACGCCCGGCCTATTTATGATTTTTTTAATTACACTTTAAGTTCTGAAATACATGTGCAGAATGTGCAGGTTTGTTACATAGGTATGCATGTGCCATGGTGGTTTGCCATCCAGGTTTTAAGCCCTGCACGTATTAGGTATTTGTCCTAATGCTCTCCCTCCCCTTGCTCCCACCCCCAACAGGCTTTGGCATGTGATGTTTCCCTCCCTGTGTCCATGTGTTCTCATTGTTCACCTCCCACTTATGAGTGAGAACATGCAGTGTTTGGTTTTCTGATCTTTTAAACTCCACCTTTTGTTGAGCCATTCCTTATGCATAAAATGTCTGCTTCCTGCCTTAGCACCTAGAAAATTTCAGATTCTGCATTCTCTGTAAAGTTTTTCTCCAATATCTTAAACAGTATGACCTTTCCCTTCTTACTTCCTATTCACTTGGTATTAATCATGTTATCAAAAAAATAATTATTCATTCTTATATACCTCTGTATCAGAATCACTGGAGGGGCACTTATATAAAATATAGATTCCCAGATTTTAGCCTCAAAAAATTACGATTGAGAACAAGTGGCCAAAATAGTCACATTTTAACCAGCACCCAGGTGATTCTGTCACAGGTGGTAAGAAGGTCATACTTTAAGAAACATTGCCTTACCACAAATCCATCTTATGACAGGACTCTGAACACTCACATGTTAAAGGGCACATAGAAGACACACACCACACATTTACACACAGACAAACACAACATATTTAGTGACCACTGAGTGATTTGATTTGCTCCATAAATACTTCATACAACAGAAATATTGTGATTAAGAAAAGATTTTAGGGAAAAATTCTTATTATTTCAAGAAAAAAAGCATCCAAAACCTAGAATTTGACTTTTTTCTAAATAAATATTTCAGGTGCAAATTTATTTTATTTGCAGCTTGGAAAGATTGCAAAAAGGAAGTGTAATATCACTCTTTCCATTCATCACTGCTTATATAATAGAACCAGGGTTTCAAAATCCAGATTACTTAGATGATACTTAAGACTAAACTTCGGAGTTTGTGTTTGTAGGAAAAATAAATATGATTAAATGTGACTCAAACCAGGTTTGTAAAGCAAGATTCATCGACCTTGCAAGGCAAACATCACAAAGGCAATCATGTTCAGTAAAAGCACTGTTCCCACATGGGAGATTATAAAAGTGGGCCAGTCTTTCATACTGGCTGTCATGCCCAAGACTGCTACCTGTTTTTATCATGTGGGGTTATGTTGTATACACTTTGGATAGCTTCCTTAAATCCTCTGGAGAAAAATAAAGGAAGGGTATAAATTCACTGAGTTCACAAACTCCAAGGTATTCCCTTCTTGAAAGTCAGGCAGCAGCATGCCTAAGCATACAAGGGCATTCATGTTTTCTGCTCCTATGTTTTTCTTGCATCTAACTAGTGTCACTGGATCAGATTCTAGAGTAAGCTTCTTCTACACAGACCAGGTTCAGCATCACCCCTACATGACTAAAACTGCCCCTATTGGGAAAGAAGTGGAGAGAGGATTGTCAACTCACCAACATATCTAAGTCAACTTACCAACAAATCAGCATTAAATTGCCTTTGCTAACAGCCTATATCTGAAATCTATTCTTAGCAGCAAGAAATAATTTTCCATGTTCATTTACTTATTCAACAAATATTAATTTAGACCTACTTTGCATGATACATGGTATTTACCCTTAAGGATCATCTTATGGTCTAGATACTAAAGTCCAACTCTATCCATTCCTTCCCCATAGGAGGGCTGTGTCCCTATCTTACTCCCCCAGTGTCTAAGGTGCATTGATAACCTAACAGGCCAGCTCCTCTAGGTTTGGGAATCTCAGTTGCTTTGGAAGGGCCTAGTTTGCCTAGATCTATGTGTACTCTCTGTTTCTGAATGCTGGCTGCCTCTCAGGCCACTGCTAGCATACACCGTTTTGTCACCCAGATGCCTCTTGTTCACCTCCCACAATTCTTTCTCCTTTTTCTAGAACAGGGCCTACTACACATGGCAAAGCTCATGTTACCTGCACAGCTGCTCACTTCTTATAGTTTTACTTGGTAAAAACTCACTCTTCAGCCCCATGTCAGACTTTTTCATACAGTTGTAAAAAGAAATGAATGGAGGGGAAGGTAAGCACCAGCTGATTTCCTGAGGACAGTGGCAGGGAATCATGGGTAATATTACTTTAGGATTTTATTTAATCGTCTTTTTGCTTAAAATGACCTATCCCTTACTTTACCCGGTTTCTTGATTTTCTTGATTCAGTATGGGTATTCACTGATGACAGCCCTTTCTAATGTAATTCCAGCAGCTGGAATGCCCTTTTCTGAGTCAGACAGACTGTAACTGACCATCCTCCATTCCCAGCATTTTCTTTCTCATGTTCAATGCTGCTCATCCAACTATCAGCCAACGTGCCAGGAAATCTGTTTTCAGTGGCAAAGCTAGGAAACAAAAGACGTCTGGGCTCCAGAACAGAGTGCAGCCTCAGGATCCCAAGCAGAGATTATGAATTTTAATTCTCTTATTGCAGCACAGATGCATCCAGGCAAGAACATTAGAAAAGACTAATCAAGGAAGAAATCAGCAGGGGGCATCCATGCAGTAGATCACTGACAGCACTCTAAACTTAGTACAGCCAAGGCTAATAGCCTCCTCAAATCCTCTTCTCTCATTAAAGATGTCCTGAAAACAAGCTACCCAAGAATATTGCTGCAGTTATCGTAGTTACCAAATTGGCAGGCAATATTCTCTAAGTGCACTAGGCCAGGAGCTGAGGATTTCCTGTGTAGCCTTTACTCTTCCAGACTGAGTGCAGCTGTAAGAGGAGAAACAGCGGAGGTATCAGAAATAAATAATGCATGAGAACTACAGGTGGGGAAAGCTTTATTCAGGCCTTCCACACTGTTGTATGCCTAAACCCTGCATTTGCTACAAGGTGACTAGATTTGCTACCCTGTGTGTCCCAAATGGTAATGAGAATGACAGGGTTGAAGAAGAAACTTGTACCTTTGATCCTGTCCTTAGCCTCTCTCCAGCTGTTCTTGCCCACTATGTGTCTCAGCCTCCTCCCAGGCCTCTCCCCTCCAGACTCTTGAAATTTGGCTAGCTAATAAAATCACAGCATTTCAAAGGCCACAAAAGTAAACAGAAGTGGTATGCATGGTTAAATACATTCTATTTAGTTAACAGCCCAAATTTCAAACCTCCTATCACTGCCTCTCCTAATTCCCACCTATTCTCCGATCTCTAGATTAGTGATGTCATCACAAACCATTTTAAGTGATCTCCTGGATTCCAGTTATCCTAGAAAAAGTTTTTAAAAATCGAAACTAGAAAAGGGATAGTAAGCTTAAAAGATTCCCTAAATTCATCAAATCCTCAGGAAATGCATGATACCATATACAACAGAAAGTTTTTTCTTAAGAATTTCTTGACTCAAATTTAGCTGAGCCCTGAAACAGAATTTAGGACCTAAATACTCATTGAAAGTGTTAAAATGTTTCTTTAACCAATGGCAGATCAAGATCACTTTTTTTCCAAACGCAGCCTATAATTTGATTGAAATGAGGGCTCTCCTTCATTTAAATTCCTTTCCAATATGAAATTCCATGTTGCTTCCTAGGCAATGCAGGGGTCTGTCTAGCATTTATTCACACACCAGAACCCTCACTTCTGTAATTACCTTCTATCAAACTCAGAGTATTGGGCATCATTTCAGTCCCGCGCATTCCCTCTCCTGCTGCCATTTCTCAACCAGTGCTATTCTATCAGCTTCAAATGACCTGAAAAAACCTCCTTGGCACAAACTGCCATTCAGCCAGTGCATACACTAAAATGGAATCATTTTTCCACATAACATCAACCCCAGGAGGTTCACTGGCTATGCAAGATGGTTCTGATGCCTGGGGCATGACCTTATAAATCTCTTCTGCAGTCTGTGTGGGATGGCACTGCCAGGAATCATAGCTGTAACCATTTCCAGAGACGAATATGTTGTTGATGGCAGATCATGGTGTCTCAAACATGGAACTGGTTGGAAGATACTACCATTTCACAACCCTGGTTACACCCCTACACACTGCCAAGTGGTTGGTGCCAAGCTCCAGCTAACCATCTGCCAAATGCCACCCACTTTGGCCAAATGGCCTGAAAAAGAATGAAGTCCTATACCCAGTTCCACACCAATATCCAAGTCCCCGACATCACCTCACACGGCAAGCTCTGACACTCACCTGGATTTAGTGACCAAATACTTTGTCCACTGCCCTTTGTTATTAAACTTTACTGACCTTACTGAGGAAAAGGCTTTCCCCTGCAACAGAACTCACAATTTAACACAGAAAATCTACCAATGAGGGGCCGCTTTCCATGGCCCTGCACTGTGATTCCACTTGAAATACAGCATCATTCAGTCAGTTAACTCTTGCCTACTGAATAGCTAAATCACAAATGTTCCAACTCTTAGCCCTAATCCTTGGAAAATCATATAAACATGCTCTGGAAACAGAAAAAATATATAGTTATTTCACACAAAGGTCACACAATTAAAAAAAAAAAAAAAGGCTCGTACAAAGACTAGTATCCAAAGATCCTAAGAGAAAGATGTGGTCTTCAAAGCACAGAGCTAGAAAAGAGGTACTGCCTCCCTGATATTTTGAGTAAGTTTCCCCAACTCATCCACAGTCCTCTTAGCATACCAGTAAGAATCCATTTCACAGAAGCAACCTTGCTCTTGGCTTCCCTCTCATTTCCTCTAATCATTTTAGTGCCACTATGGGAAGCATTTGTAATGCACTTACAGACACATGCCCCCACCTCTCAACGAATAAGTATTTCCTCAGTAAATCCCACTGAGAGCACACTCCAGAAAAAAGCAGTGCTTGCAAAACATCTCATGTTCATTTTTCAGAACTCAGAATGAAATGACTAACCCCGATATACAATAAAAATGATTAAATGCAAACACTACTGAGCCTGTATAATAAATATTTCATATATTAATATGTTTTCAAAAGTCTTATTTCATTTTTACTGCTTTTCTATATGGTGTTATTCTATTTTAGTACATGGAATGAAATAATCTTCCATGAAAAAAGTAGGCATTTCTGGCCTATTTTAAATAAGCAAATAGATAATTATTATGCTATTAATTTGCTATGTAAATTGTTTAAATTGCTAACTCTTTCTTCTTTCCATTATTATAGGCAGTTCACTTCTTCCCAAGGAAAATGGAAAATTCCCTTTCAAAGTAAACTGTTCCTTCCCTCATGCCCCAGATGTACAACCCAGGTGTTCTGTCCTATGTCTCTTTTGTAAAACAGGCCAGAATCCTGACAAAAGCCTTTCTGAATAATGCCTGCTTAAGGTGCATCAAACATCAAAAGCCGCCAAAATTCCTTTCCCTACTCTAGAAAGGAAAAACACACTGGTTAGGGATCACCTCCATGTAAGTAAAAAATAATAGGGCGCCTGGTGACGGTTCAGCTGCCTGCTCCTTCTGCAGGCTTACATAGGCTTCAAAAGGTCCTCTTCTCATTTCACTTGCTGTTTATGGAAAAGGGAAAGAAGAAAACTACCACATTCCAGAAACTTTTCAGTAGGTATGTTATAAATAGTTTTTAAGTTATTTCATAACATCCTGGCACAGTAGGGCAAAAAGAAACCCTTCTGAACCATTAGTGACGCTTTGGGATACACCTTTACCACAGGTGCTGTTAAAATAGCAAAAAAGGGTACCCAGGCCATCAAACACATATTTAGAAGCTTCTATAAGTGGGAAATATTGAGGAAGAGAATAAAAAGAGGCAATGAAAGCTATACCCATGAGATCCTGCCAGTGTGCTAAAGTTCCTGATGTCATTTTCACATAGAGGAAAGGAAAATTGCTGCCTGTAGATTCCACATTTTTAAAACTGACTTCTTTTTTCATTTTCAGGGCTGCCTGCCTCCTTTCTCTTTATCGCATATGTAAGAAAGATGTCAACACTTACAGACTTAATTAGAAAGTCGTAGAAAAACCTGTCAGCTAGATTTGCAGAATCCTGACACAGAAGTCCTCAGGCACGCAGCACCTGGGCAGTGATACTGGTGGCTCTGCAACTCACCTTCTCACCTGGCCTTTGCCTGAAGCCAGAAGCTGTTATGATAGGGGAGGGAGGGAGATTCCTCCAGGCACTTCCTTTTCAGTCTATCCTCTAAGGGGTTTCCTGACACTAGATAATGATGCTAACACTCAAGAGAAGAAGTCACTAAACAGATACCACCTTCTTAATTTGCAGAGAAATGATCTGGAATGATAGTGAGTGGCAGAAACTCACACTCCTAGACAGAGGGGCCATTTCTTTTTGTAGGAGCCAAGCACTTGCCACGCACACCCCACACCTATTCTCAGCTCTCTGAGGGCCCTGGTGGTGAACTCCAGTGGCATCCTTTCACAAAGAGATCAACCTTCTTTCCACTAGCCATGCGGAAGCTGATTTGCTACATCACAACAGTGTAAAGCTATCAGCATATTATTAATCAATTATATTTATGCCATAGGCAAAATCTGCCCATTTGTGAAGAAGTCAACTCACCATGGAAGATCATGGCTTAGTCAATGGAAACCTTGATTTAAGTCCCACTACAAAAAAGAATAAAAACCCTGCTATAAAATTCAAAAACATTGATCTTAAAAACTGTGAGCAAAAAGTAAATACTTGAAGGTCCAATAAATACACTGGTTGAATTGACCTCTTTCTTTGAAGCTCTGAGACAAGATTTATTGGGAAGTGGGGATGGGGCATTTAGGGAGGTGTCTGATTCATTAAAATTAAAAAAAAATCCAAAACAACTGGTCCATTCAGTGAAAATCTAAGCACAGAAATACATAGCAACTAAAATCTGACAAACTTCTTCAGCAATCTGGATGCCATAAACACAATGTTTTGATTCTTATACCAGATAATGCAGACAATTCAATGACTTTAGTTCATGCTATCATGTATTTAGTCCTCAGAATTGCCAAAATCACTGTCATAATTATTACTACTTACTAATACCACCAACCCATCCTGGGTATTTCAGGGAGCTAGCTATTAGAGGTACCGGCCTTAGTAGTTACCATGTACTACTTTGCACCCAAAGCCCTCTTCAAAGCACCAAGACTTATAGTGACTTAAGAGTTTTAAATGTGATATTTTCTGGCAGTTCTCCTCTGCAATCCAGCAACCCAGAAACATTATCACTTTTTCATACATAAATCTCTAAGTTCTGATGCTGTTTAGGCAAAGTGTTTTATCTGTCATTGTCAGTCAGTCCCTACATAATCATAGAGGAAATGACTGATAAAAGATGTGAATCAAATTGTCAACTCTGAATAGAGTTATACGCTTGAGATGGACAAGGAAATAAACTAATTCCAAGAAGCCATTCCTAGATCAAGGTCAGTGAGTGCATAACACTGGCCTTAACCATTCCTACAGAATGAATAAAAATGCCATGACTTGGAAATCTGATTTTTTAAAAATTTTATTTAAGTTATGGTATACATGTGCAGGACGCGCAGGTTTGTTACATAGGTAAATGTGTGCCATGGTGGTTTGCCACATCTATCAACCCACCACCTAGGTATTAAGCCCAGCGTGTAATAGCTACTTATCTTGATGCTCTCCTTCCCCTGCCACCCCCCAAAAGGCCCCAGTGTGTATTGTTCTCCTCCTTGTGTCCATGTGTTCTCATTGTTCAGCTCCCACTTATAAGTGAGAACATTCGGTGTTTGATTTTCTGTTCCTGCGTTACTTTGCTGAGGATAATGGCTTCCAGGTCCATCCATGTCCCTGCAATGGACATGATCTCATTCCATTTTATGGTTGCACAATATTCCATTTTCTTTACCCACTCTATCATTGATGGGCATTTGGGTTGATTCCATGTCTTTGCTATTGTAAATAGTGCTGCAATAAACATAAGTGTATATGTATCTTTATAGCAGAATGATTTATATTCCTTTGGGTGTATACCCAGTAATGGGATTGCTGGGTCAAATGGTATTTCTGGTTCCAAATCTTTGAGGAATTGCCACACTCTCTTCCACAATGGTTGAACTAATTTACATTCCCACCAACAGTATAAAAGCATTCCTATTTCTCCACAGCCTCACCAGCATCTGTTGTTTTTTGACTTTTTAATAATTGCCATTCCAACTGGTGTGAGATGGTATCTCATTGTGGTTTTGATTTGAATTTCTCTAATGATCAGTGATGTTGAGCTTTTTTTCATGTGTTTGTTGGTTGCATATATGTCTTCTTTTGAGAAGTGTCTGTTCATGTCCTGTGCCCACTTTTTGATGGAGTTGTTTTTTTCTTGTAAATTTAAGTTCCTTGTAGATCTGAATATTAGACCTTTGTCAGACGTTTTCTCCCATTCTGTAGGTTGCCTGTTCACTCTGATGATAGTTTCTTTCGCTGTGCAGAAGCTCTTTAGTTTAATTAGATCCCATTTGTCAATTTTTGCTTTTGTTACAATTGCTTTTGATGTTTTTGCTATGAAATCTTTGCCTCTGCCTATGTCCTGAATGGTACTGCCTAGATTTTCCTCTAGGGTTTTTATAGTTTCGGACTTTACATTTAAGTCTTTAATCCATCTTGAGTTAATTTTTGTATATGGTGTAAGGAAGGCGTCCAGTTTCAATTTTCTGCATATGGCTAGCCAGTGGAAAACTGATTTTACAGGCCTATCTCTGGTATAACTTTGGCTTTTCTCCACATGGAATCCTCCAGCCTAGAATGTTGTAACAAGTACATCTGGTAGACAGCTAACGGGACCTAATACATGCCACAGATGTTAACTCCCCTTCTATCAAAGCTGCCAGCCAGTACCCAGGGGGCATGAGCTCTGACTCTGGTCTTCTCCAGCTGGGGGTAGCCTGGTCCACTCATTGCCCTGCACTGTAAACCTGCTCTCATTTCTATGTGTGCCATGACATGGAAAAGCTGGAATGGTGCTCTAAACCCCCTTGATTTCTGCCAACTTGACTATCAATTGGGTTTAGAAGATTATCTGCTCTATTTTAAAATCTAAGGAAAGTGATGCCAATATAGGTTTGCACACTATCTCATGTTCAGCTTCTTTTTATAAGCAATATCATAAATGTCAATGATGGGCCATAATGGAATAGAATGATACTCAGCCAGAAACAAAAATCCTTCCCTATGACAGCCACAGTGTCTTCATGGCCTCTGAGAAGAAGTATGTACAAATGATATATCCAGGGGTCTCATGTCCCAGTGTAAGCCAGAATGAATCATATAGAGTTATTTATTTCCTTATGTATTTATTTATTGCCTAGGTGAGAGGCAGGTACGAGAGGCCTACAACACTAAAAGCAGGCAAAACTAATTTATTTTCCCCATCCTACTTAAATCTAACTAAATAATCACATCATTCTCCTCTTTTCAGGAGACTGAGAGAGGGTTGTGGAAGGCAGAGGGGTCTATAGGTCCCTGTGAAGACCAAAACTAAAAGGTCTGGACCAAAAGGAAATAGGAGAAAATGTGTATCCTTTATCAAGTTGAAAATTATACTGCAACTCAGGCCGGATGTGGTGGCTCACTCCTGTAATAGCAGCACTTTGGGAGGCCGAGGCGGGTGGATCACGAGGTCAGGAGATTGAGACCATCCTGGCTAACACGGTGAAACCCCGTCTCTACTAAAAATACAAAAAAATTAGCCAGGTGTGGTAGTGGTTGCCTGTAGTCCCAGCTACTCGGGAGGCTGAGGCTGGAGAATGGCATGAACCCAGGAGGTGGAGCTTACAGTGAGCTGAGATGGCGCCACTGCACTCCAGCCTGGGCGACAGAGCAAGACTCCGTCTCAAAAAGAAAAAACGAAAAGAAAATTATACTGCATCTCAGAATGTGCCTGTGATGCAATAATAAATGTTTTTAACTCAGGCATTTGTTTTACTGAGACACATGTCTCAAATATGCCTAATCCCCTCCATCTGTCTCTTTAAATACCACTGTAGTGCAAGCTAGCCTTTGCCATCTCTCACCTGGGCCTGCACCAGCCTCCCACTGGGCTCTCTACTTCCACTCATCCTGGCTACAATTCTCCCTTCAGGAGTCAGCGTGAACGTTCTCACAGGTAAATCAGGTTACATCCTCCCTCTCCCTAAAAGTCTAAAAAAAAAAAAAAAAAAAGCCTTCCCATTTTTCTTTGAGTAAAAACCAAACATGTAATTCAGCCTACAGGGCCTTACGTGTTCTATCTACATTTCCAACCTTTCATGCTATGTGTCCCTTTGTCTACAAAGTTCCCAACACATCAGGCTCTGATAGCCCACCAAACATTCTTTCCCACTTTAGGGTCTTTGTACTTACTGATCTCTCTGATCTTCTCCCAAATTTTCAAGGGAACAGTATCTTTCTACCCTTTAAATCTACAGCTTAAATATCATCTACTCAGGGAGGCCTTTTCCAATCGCCTTAGCCATAGTAGCCCCCACACTGCTATTTTCTCTGCAGCCACTGTCACTTACTTTACAGCACTTACCACCAGCTCTTTTCACTAACTAATGATATGTTCAGTCCATTATGCCTTTATCTCACTCTCTAATGCTGTCTTGTTCACCCCAGTGCCCAGCACAGTGCCTGTCTCCTAATGGAGGTCTCCATCAGTACTTGCTGATTGACTAATAGATGAATAAATGAGAACCCACAATATGGTTAGATCCATCTATGCATCTTTTTGTCACTGAGCCTCTACTCAAAGATTAAGACATCAAGTTTTTCTTAGTTCTCTCATTATTCTACGTGTACTCCTCAAAATTTGCCTCTATATGAGAAAGGAATACATTTACATTTTACAAAAACCGAAGTTTCACAATTCATCATCAGTTGTGCCAATAGCAACTGCCATATAACCCGCAACATAAGTTCTTCAAATAATCCCCCAAAAGAGTTACATGGTCAAATGAATCTGCAAAACACTACACATTTTTTTTCTTTTTCTGGTTTTGGCTTGGAAACCCACAGTGTGTTTTAGCATATTAAAGACACCAAAAGAATTACAGTAAGGAAACCTGACTTTGTTTTAACCCAAGATTTTCCAAGCTCGTGGCAAAAGAGCCAATTTTTCTACTAATGCCAATTAACATCCCTACAAACTAGTATACCTCAAAATAGAATTTGGAAACAATTTTCTAGATAACTGTATAGAGGAAAGTGCCAAATGTAGTTTTCTTGAGAGATGTCCTTTTGGTTCACAGTAAAGAAGCTGGTGATAAAATTTGAAACATTAACAATGATAATTAAAAATCAATTATCTATAGACCAGGGGTTTTGATTACATAATTTCAGAATTATCTACACTATTTGCTTCTTCTGCCTGTCTTCTAGATAGTTAAATGATCACCACTAGTGATGTTATTAACTATGGATTCAACAAACAGCTAAGTTTGAAACAGTGAAACAGCAAAATTTCACCATGGACACAAATATAATTCATTTGCCATAGTAGAGGGGCACAGAATCAGGCATATTTGATCACCTGTAAACACAGGAAATGGCAAAAAAAGCCTGTTCTCTTTCCCACCCCCACAGCTATAAATGACAGATATTCATAGGGCCCCTCCAACCAAAACCAGAAAAAAAAAGCAGACTGAAAAAAATAGAGATTCCATGTTAGTATTAGCAAAAATGTTACACCTCTATCATTTACATGGATTATATAGTTAATAATTAACTAGCTAGGATGACAGAAAGATAATGGCTTAAATCTAAGACTGATCTTTGAGTGATTACAGACATAGAGCTTGAGGACTCACTACAATTGAAATGTCAGCACTGATGCAAGAATAAAAGAAGAGAATTATAGAAGGATGTGGCCAGAATAGGGCAGAGCAGAGCAGCAGACTGTAGAATAACTCAGAACCAGACAATAGCAGGAAATGAGGGTCTGGCTTGAACCAGGACAATCACCACCTCGACCCCTCTGGGATAAGGTTTGACCCATAGCCTAGTACCAGAGACAAGTTCTTCAGTTTGATCTGCAGTTGAAATATAAAATATTAAGTATTAAAATAGAAACCATCTGACAAAGATATCATACTTTACTGCCAGCGTGTTCTTATAAGACCAGAATGTCCTGGTGGACTTTAACTATACCCCCTCCAAAAATAATAAAACCATTAAATTAAGCTTCATTAATTGAAAACTCATGACAATTCGGACAACAGAGATGAGGTTTACATACTCTGTAAAAAGTAGATGGAAAGCAGATGAATAGTGGAAAGAAGATGGTAGGGATGACCACTGAGATCTTTTCAAGATCTGGTCCATGCCTACATCTCCGCCTCACCTCTCACAATCTCCCATGCCACCTCTACCACTGTTGTACCCTGTGCTCCAAGCATACTAAACTACATAGACTCCCAAGTGTGCCACCCTCTCTCATGCTGCTCCCTCTGGTTATAATGTCCTTCTACCACCCATATCACCCCCTTTGCCCAATGAAATCCTACTCAACTTTCAAGACTTGGCTCAGATGCCTTTCATGAGCTCCTCTTCAACCCAACCTGGGGTAACTGCATCCCCTAGTGTTCATACAGTCCTATCAGAATACTTACACTATGTTGGATGATCTATTTTCTTGACAACTTATTTGCCAGGCCTATATCCCCATGTCTGTCATACTGAATAGTAAACAATAACCAATAAGCATAGGTAGAATAAATAAATACATTAAAAAAATCCATATGCAAAGAACAGAGAGAAAAAAAGAGTGGTAATCTGAATCTGAAGTCAGCTGATAATAAGAAATCATGGGTCCTGTGTTGCCTACTGACTTATGAACCTGAATACTTTCATTTGGCATGCTAACTACAGCTTGGGCAGTTCTGCCTGTACCCTGGAACCCGGGTCAGCACTCCAGGTCCTTATCTCATTCTAGTGCTACTTAGGCCACCTCTGCTTACATTATTGAAACTCTTACTGCCATGTTAGTGAAACTATCAGCAACTAAAGGGTCATAAGGCTCTCTGTACACAGACCTTTAGAAATAATTATCACTTCACTGCAGAGAGCAGATGTGATTTCTCCCCGCAACACAAGTCATGTGAACCATTAATGTAGACACCAAATTACACATTTTCAAGGTTCACTGACTAGGAAAATGGTGTTAATTTTGGTGCTCTGGTCTTAGGATGTATAATTTAGGCACAAACAGATTTGTTTTTTAAAAAATATTGATTTAACTTTAATGATGATTTTTGGGGTGGGGGGGGCATGGTGGGAAGAAGCAACAGGGCCCCAGGAGATGAAATGCATTTCTCTATCGGTGTGTTGGAAAATACACCACTAAACTCGGTTCTGGAAATGTCATTTTCATGCCAAATTAAAGGTAAACATAATTATGTCTCACACATCAAAAGTACCTAATTAGACACACTCTTTGAGGCTAAAATATGCATGCAGACATAACTAATTTTAACTTACTTCATAATAACTTCATTATTTATGAAGTATCAATCAAAAACATTAAACTAGTTTGTATTTATAAGAAGATCTTAAAAACTGACAGTGATTTCCATTGTAATTCATTCCCGGTTTTCTGCTTTGGGAAATACACAAGTGTCTGTTCCTTTTTATCTTGATGCTAAAAGGAAAAAAAAAAAAAGAACCAAAGGAAATTTTAAGTAAGGAGTGGTGGGAAGTGAAGATAAAGCTTTGTGAGTCATGATGAATTTGCCACAAATAAAAATGCTGGGACTGTGACCAGGTAGAAAACTATTCATCACACAAATCTGAAGACCTCTGTCTACTCCATCCCTCTGTAATGAATAATTACCATGGCATTAGTGCTCCTACTCAGCTGTGGGGAGTAAACTGTCAATCATCCCAAGATATGGGTTCAGGGGTGAAGCTGACGCCAGGCTCTGTAAAGGAGCCTCTGAGAAGGACTGGATGGAAAGAGACCCCAAAGCTTCCCCAGAGGGCCTCTGCTATGATTTAAAACACCCTATGGCAGCTCTCTGTGGAAGACGAAAAACTCAAAGACAACAGGAAAGAAACTTAAAAGGCCTACAGTCCTGCTCTAAATAGGAGAAAAATTTCACACTCCCAAAAGTAGTCCACATTTATATGCACAGAATGTTGTATGCTGGGTGCTACAATGTCCCATTTCTTAAAATCAGGCAAACTGTGAAAAGAGGAAGAATTTGAAAATGGTAAAGTGAGAAAATAAAGGAGAAAGAATTGGCTTAGAGCCAAGAAAGAAGAGGCCTGTAAACACTGTCTCTGAAAGGGTGAGTTTGGTGTAGATCTGACAGAAAAAGAATGTGAAATGACACAGAATCAACCATACAACTCTAATATGCATTCCACAAAGAATGTGACTTCAACTTCAGATCATGACAGAGTTATTGGAACTGGGTCTGTCTGTCCTCCTGCCATAAACAACTAGAAAGTTGGTGGAATACTGGCCTGTTTTCAGACATTGGACAATAGGCAATGGAAGATAGTAATTGTTGAGAGAAGAGAAACTGTCAAGATGAAATCATGTTTGCCCTGGTTTTCTGCCTGAGGACACTTTCCAGACTGTGGCAAAGGAAAGTGAAGCCCAAGTAGAGAACTATGTCCCTGAACTGAGGAGATGCAAATTGAAGCTCGCAGCCACTGAAGCAACCAGAATGTGTAGGGCAGAGTACTGGAAATAAGACAATTCCACAGGAGGAAACAGGGCACTTAGAAGTTAGCTTGAAGGTCTCCCATGAGTCCTTGACAAAAGTCTGGGTTACAAAAGTGAAGAGTGAAACTCTGTCAGCCCTAGCAGAAAGTAACTACTGCAAGCCTGGGAGATGAACAAAAACACCAGATGTCATAACTATGCTGAGAGACATTGGAGCCCTGGTTCAGTCAGAGTGGAAAGATGTCAAACACCTCAGCATTCAGTTAAAACCACAGAAAGGGCACCCCTTGGAGAAAACACCACTCCCTAAAGTAAAGGTCGTGTCTGTAGGTATAAGGATAAAACCTAAAATAGAGCCAACCTAAAGGGGAATAAAACCAAGTCCAACAGGATCAAGAAAACCCACCAGTAATTTAACTGCTTTCCAGAAGAAAATTCAATTTCCTTTCAAAGAACACAACATACCCCAGATTCCCTACCAGGAATTATCCTTGATGTCCAATTTACAATAAAAAATGAACAAGTCATACAAAAGTAGAAATACATGACTCATAATAAAGAAAAATAAGCAGCCAATACAGAGACCAAGAGATGACCCAGATGTAAAAATGAGTAGATGGGATTTTAACATAGTTATTATAAATATGTTCAAGGGCTTAAAGGAAAATATGGACATATAAATGAACATATGGAGAAATCTTAGCAGAGATATGAAATATATAAAAGAAAGCCAATTCTAGTAGTAAAAAGTAATATGAAAAATTTAGCAAGTAGTCTTAGTAGCAGATTGAAGACTACAGCATAGAGGATCAATGAGTTGGAAGACAAATCAATAGAAATTATCCAATTTGAAGAACATAGATGAAAGCATTTTAAAAAAATTTTTTAAAAACAGCCTCAGTGAAGACAGCTTCAATAATACTAAGTGGTCTAACGTGCAATTGTTAGCTGACAGAAAAAGAAAAGAGACAATGGAACAGAAAAATATTTGAAGAAATACTAGCTGAATATTTTCCAATATGATGAAAAACATCTACCTATAGATCCAAAAAAGCTCAGTGAACCATAAATACAGAAATACAAAACAAATTACAACTAGGCACATAATGTCAAACTGCTAAAAATCAAAGATACAGAAAAAAATCATACAAGCAGCCTGAGAAAGATGCGTACATTAATGACAGAGAAATAATTATTCAAATTACAACTGGCTTCTCATCAGAAATAATGGACCCAAACAACAATAAAACATCTTTATATTGTTGGGGGTCGGGGTGGGGGGGACTGTCAACCCAAAATTCTATACCCAATAAATATATCCTTCAAATCTGAGGTTGAAAAAAACCATTTGCAGAGATAACACAGCCTAAGAAGATTTATATCCAACAGACCTGTACTACAAAAAGAAATTTCTTCAGGCTAAAGGCAAATGATACCAGCCGAACACACATAGGAAGCAAAGAACAACACTGGAAATAGTGCATATGTGGGCAAATATAAAAAGCAACCCTTTTTCTCTTAACTTCATTAAAAGAAAACTATTTAAAGGCATATAGTATAGGGTTCATAATGCATATAGTATAGGGTTTATAATGCATATAGAAGTAAAATATATGACATAACACAAAAGCCAGGGGAGTAAAATGTAATTATATAATAAAAAATTCTTAAACATGAAGTGTAGATAAGAATATTATTAATTATATTATTAATTATATTATATTATATATTATGTTATATTATATATAAATAATATAATTACATTATTAATATAATATACTATAATAATATTATTAATGTAATATTAATATAATATAATTAATAATATAATTAATTATATTATTAATATAATTAATCGATAAGAACATTAAATAAAATGTACTCGGCCAGGTGTGTTGGCTCACGCCTATAATCCCAGCACTCTGGGAGGCCAAGGTAGGTGGATCACTTAACGTCAGGAGTTCAAGATCAGTCTGGCCAACATGGTGAAACCCCATCTCTATGAAAAACACAAAAAAATTAGCTGGGCATGGTGGCATGCGCCTGTAATCCCAGCTACTTGGGAGGCCGAGGCAGGTGAATTGCTTGAACCTGGGACGTGGAGACTGCAGTGAGCTGAGATTGTGCCACTGCACTCCAGCCTGGGCGACAGAGTGAGACTCCATGTAAAAGAGAAAAAAAAAAAAGAAAGAAAAGAAAGGTAAGTCAAAACTCTATTCAAAAAGCAGACACTGCCAGACTGGATGAAAACACAAAATCCAACATTTTGCTGTCTTAAAGAGACTAATATAAAATGTAAAGCCATATATATGGGGTCAAAGTAAAAGGATGAAGAATATATACCATGCAAATAATCTGCATAAGAAAGCTGGTGTGGTTATGTTAATAACAAAAAATAGTCTTTAAGACAAGGATTATTATTGTAGATAATGAAAGACAATTCATAATGATTAAAAGGTCAACTTTTTTGGAAGATAAGTTGTAAATACTTATCAGTTATAAATACTTATGTGCATAAGAAAAGAACTTCAAAATAAAAGAAGCTGATAGAACTAAAGGCAGAGAGACAAACACACAAGAGCAAACCAAACATTAGTAAGGATTTAGAAGATTTGGGCTGGGCATGGTGGCTCACGCCTGTAATCCTGGCAGTTTGGGAGGCCAAGGCAGGTGGATCACTTAAGGTCAGGAGTTCAAGACCAGCCTGGCCAACATGGTGAAACTCCATCTCTACTAAAAATAGAAAAATTAGCTGGGCCTGGTGGTGCACACCTGTAATCCCAGCTACTCAGGAGGCTGAGGCAGGAAAATCACTTGAATCTGGAAGGCTGAGGTTGCAGTGAGCCTAGATCACGCCACTGCACTCCAACCTGGGCAACAAGAGTGAAACTCCGTCTCAAAAAAAATAAGAAGATTTGAACGTTATCAATCAATATGACTTGAAGAACATTTAGAAATCACTATATTCAGAAATGTAGAATTCAGATTCTGTCAAGTGCAAACAGAATATCAATCAAGAAAGAGCAATAAAAGACATAATAAATTTCAAAAATGTTGAAATATTATAGATCATAATATGGGAAAACAATAGAAATAAACTAGAAATCAATAAGGATATCTAGCAATGCCCAAGTATTTAAAAATTAAACAACACATTTGTAAATAACCTATTTATCAAAGAAAAAAATCACAGGGAAATAGAAAGTAATGAATGACAAAAATACAGTATATCAAAATTTATGAGATGTAAATAAAGCAATGCTTAGAGGGAAATGTAGAGTTTTAAATACTTAGAAAAGATAAAAGGTTTAAAATCAGTGATTTAAGTTTCCTTTTTAAGAAGCTATGGAAAAAGACAAGAAAATTAGACCCAGAGTAAATAGAAGAAAATGATATAGGTAATACAAATTAACTTAAGTAGAAAACGCACAAACAATAGACAAAACTAACAAAGCTAAAGTTTGTTCATTGGAAAGATCAGTGAAATTGACAAACTACTATCAATACAGATCAAAATAAGAAAATAATACAAATTGGAAATGTCAGAAAGATATGTCATTACAGATCCTACAGATATCACAACTCATACCAGTAATTTTACTAATGTAAATGAAATAGATTTCCTTGAAAAATACAAGTTACCAACATTGATTCAAGAAGAATCAGCATAACTCTAATGCCAAAAACCAACCAAAGAACCATTTTATGTTTAAAAGTTACATATCAGAATTCATCATAAAAATAGACCAAAAGAATCAAAAAGCAAATCTGGTGAAAGTAATAGTAAATCCAAAACCAGCAAATGTTAGAAAAGAAACTTTCATAACCAAGTGGAATTTATTCAAAAAATAAGTTTGAACAGTCAAAGTGAATCAGTGTAACACATTTTAGTGTAATAAAGAAGAAAAGCCATATTGTCACCACAGTCACCAAAAAATTTGACAAAATTAACACCTATTCATGATTTTAAGAAAAACTCCCAAGAGACTGGAATAGAAGGAAGAACATTATGAAGAATATCTACAAAAAGTGACAAGTAACACTGTGAAATACTGAATGCTTTTCCTCTAAGATCAGTAGATGAGTAGAGTACTTCTACCGAGTATAGCATTTGAGTTCTGAGTATGTACATCAACACAATAAAAATAAATAAACTACACATATTGGAAAGTAAGAAGTAAAACTGTCTTTATTTGCAGATACATGATTGTTTACATAAAAATCCTAAATATTTTACTAAATATCTACTAGAATAAAAGAATTTAATATTGTCGTAGGATACAAGGTCAATATATAAAAATCAACTGTGTATTTCTATATACTAGAAGAAAAAAAGAAAACATTTTAGTACCATTAACAATACTATAAAAATTAAGTCATTAGGAATGAATTTAACAAAAGATGTGCAGTGCTACTATTCTATAAAGTACAAAACACTGCTAAGAGAAATTAAAGCAGTCCAAATAAATGAAAAGTATGGCCGGGAATGGTGGCTCACGCCTGTAATCCCAGCACTCTGGGAGGCCGAGGCGAGAGGATCACATGAGGTCAGGAGTTCGAGACCAGCCTGGCCAACATGGTGAAACCCCGTCTCTACTAAAAATACAAAAATTAGCTAAGCATGGTGCCGCATGCCTGTAATCCCAGCTACCTGGGAGGCTGAGGCAGGAGAATAGCTTGAGCCTGGGAGGCGGAGGTTGCGGTGAGCCGAGATCGCGCCATTGCACTCCAACCTCGGCAACAACAGCTAGACTCCATCTCAAAATAAATAAATAAATAAATGAAAAGTCAATGAGAAGATTTCATATTATTAAAATATATAGACACAACACAATCCAAATCAAAACATCAGTCTTTCTTTGTAGAAATTGATACAATTACTTTAATATATACTTGACCTCAAATTGTTGAAATAATCTTAATCAACAACAACAAAAATGTAGAGGACTCACACTATTTGATTTCAGGACTTACTACAAAGCTACAGTTATCAAGACAGTGTTGTATTAATGTAAGGACAGACAAACATAACAACAGAATCTAAAAAAAGATCCACACATATATGGCCAATTGATCTTTGACAAGGGTGCCAAGGTAATTCAATGGAGGAAAGAACAGTCTTTTCAACAAATTGTACCTCGATATCCATAAAAAAAAAACTCTCAAAATTTTCCTCACATGTTAGGAACTAATAATAATAACAAAATGGATCACAGACCTAAAGATGAAATCTAAAATAATTAAAGTTGTAGTTAAAAACATAGGGAATAACATTTGCAATCTTAGAGTATGCAAAGATTTCTTAGGATACAAGTACAGACCACAAAATTTTTAAATGGATATACTGAACTTCATCAAAATTAAGGATTCTTCTTCATCTAAACACCACTAAGAAAATGACAGGTCAAGCTACAGATTGAGAGAAAACATTCTTATTCACTATTATTTACATATATCTGACAAATATGTATATAGCTTTGAAAAAATACTTGATTACAGAATATATAAAGAACTCTAAAAATTCATGAAAAAGATAAACAGCTAATCAAAAAAGGCAAAATCCATGAACAGACACTTCACTAAAAAAGACCACAAATGGCTGATATGCAACTTCATTATTCATCAGAGAAATGCAAACAAAATCTTTAGGACACTGTTATATACCCACTAGAATGGCTAAAATAAAAAAGCCTTACCATACCAAATGTGTATGAGGGATGTGGAACAACTGGAATTTTCAAACACTTATGATGGGAGTGTAAGATGATATAACCACTTTCAGAAGCTATTTGGCAGTTTTTTATAAAGTTCAATACACACCTACCCTATGACTTGCAATTCTATTCCTAGGTACTCATCCAGAAGAAATGAAAATACAATATCCACAAAAAGACTTGTATGTCCATGACTTTATTCAGAACAGCCAAAAACTAGAAAGAACCCAAGTCCCATCAACAAAACCGTATATAAACAAATTGGTACACATTTGAATAGAAAAAATATTTTTTAAAAAATGAACAGATAATACATGCAACAACATGGCTTAATCTCAAAACCATTATGTTCAGTGAAAGAATCCAGATACACAAGTAAATACTGTATGGTTCTGTTTACTTTAAGCTCAAGAACAGGTAAAACTAATGTATGTGATATAAATAAGAATAGTGGCCACCTAAATGGTTTAGAGATTCACTGTAAGAGGGTAAAAGGTAACTTTTGGGGGTGATGGAAATGTTCTAAATCTTTATTTAAGTATTGGTTACGTGGACATACTCTTGGCCAAAACTCATCAAATTATATACTCACAATATATGTATTTCACTTTGTTTAAAATTTCACCTAAAAAAAGTAAGAATCTAGGATTTCTGGTGGCTCCAACATCCTATAAATATTAATTTCTAATGTCAAAGGATAATCTGAAGTTTACTTTATGAGTGAAACTAGTCAATAATATAACTTTATTAACATGTAGTACTACTTCCTCACCAAAAGTTTGTGAGGGAGAGAGAGAGAATGGGCCAGAAATAACTTTTCTGTTAGATGTATGTGCTAACATCATTGCCTCCCACCTCCACCTCATTGTTTTTTAACACTCTCTCTAACACTAAATAACAAGTGATTCTCTCAGTAGCTGGATCCTAACTCTTAAGGATTTGTCGTATTAGTTGGTATGCTTGGGGGAGGGGATTGTCTTTGGAGTGTTGGATTTGATGTGTTATAGTTAATTAAGGTATTTCAGTTCTTGCTTGTAAGCATGGTGAGGAGGAATTAACGTGAAGTTTGGTTCGGCATGTACTATGGACGGTCAAGCAATTATAGTACTATAATTACTTATAACTTAATACTTGGGTCTTTAAGCATCTCACTCTCATTGACTAAGAAATGGCTCACCTAAAGCTATGATGCATTTTCAAACACAAGTAAACTGAACTTGAGACGTCTTTAAATAAGATCTAAATTGCTCTTATAATGGATTAAAAAGCCAAGGTTCAAAAAGGGTAATGACTCTAGCTGAGCTGCAAAACCTTGAAGTAAAGAAGGAAGGGCCTTTGCCCAGCTGGCCCACAGAGAGCCAACTCTAGATGCTAGGCCAGCACAAGTGCATGAACCATCAAATTCTATGAAACTCAAAAGTGCTAGAGGGAGTGAAAAGGTTCTAAGAGAGAGAGACACAATACGTTAAGTGAATTCATGCCTTGTGTTTAGAGGTGGGGGGGTGAGGATAGTATGTAGTTCACGAGGAATTTTAAAATGCCATATTCCTTTTGAATTTCTTATTCTTTCAGGTTTTAGATTTAAGGATTAGGCAATTTTGCTCCATGGGAAATAACCTGTATTAACAGCACCAACTTTGTTAAAATCAGTGTATCAAAGAGAAGTCTGCATTCACATGTTTATTCCAGCACTTTTCACAATATCCAAGATATGAAATTAACCTACATTTCTATCAGTGAATGAATAAAGAAAACAGGTATATATACCCAATGGAATATTGCTCAGTCATTAAAAAGATTTCATTCTTTTTATTTCATTTTATTCCTGTATTTGCAGCAACAGGAATGAATCTAGAGGACAATATAGTAAGTGAAATAACCCAGGCACAGAAAAATAAATACCACATAATCTCACTCATATGTGGAGTCTAAAAAAGTTGATCTCATAGAAGAACACAATACAAATGATGGTTACCAAAAGCTTGGGTGGTTAGAGCAGAGGAAGGAGATGTTGATCAAAGGATATATAATTACAGTTAAAATAGTAGAAATATTTTTTACATTGCAGAATAGGCAAGTTTATAGAGACAGAAAGTAGAGAAGCGATTGCCTGGAGCCAGGGGTGAAGGGGAGAAATAGGTGGTGGGAGGGGGAGAAATAAGGAATGACTATTAATGGTTATGGAGGTTCTTTGGGGGGTTATGAATATGTTTTAAAATTGTGTGGTGGTTGTACAACTCTGTGAACAAACTGAAAACCATTGGATTATATATTTTTAAGTGGGTGAACTGCATATGTGAATTATAACTCCATAAAATTTTTTTTAAAAAGCCTGTCCAGGGCTTTGGAAATGCAATGCAAATTCCCAAAGACCTTGAGAAGATAATACTAGCCACACACCTAAACTGAGTCTGCTGGAAGGTCAACTTTCTAGTTCACAGTCCATTAAGCTTCATGCTAACAAGGATACAGACACAGACCAGAAGAGAGGGGACTGTGGAGCACAGAGCCTCCAAAGGCCCCCTGGCAAATCACAGCTGGCCTTGGGCCACCTCAAGAATGTTGATCCTTGGCAGTAGTTTCATCAGTTAAGAAGGAGATGGTTTGTTCCTTCCCCCTCGTGCCTCCTGTTGATCCCTAACACACACACTAAAGGAGAAAGTAACCTGGAAGAAATGAGAAAAATAAGAAAGCAGACCAGTGTCTGGCGCGGAGGCTCATGCCTGTAATCCCAGCACTTTGGAAGGCCGAGGTGGGCTGTTCACTTGAAGTCAGGAGTTTGTGACCAGCCTGGCCAACATGGTGAAACCTGGATCTACTAAAAACACAGAAATTAGCCGGGCGTGGTGGTGGCCACCTGTAATCCCAGCTACTTGGGAGGCTAAGGCAGGAGAATCGCTTGAACCCAGGAGGCAGAGGTTGCAGTGAGCCGAGATTGTGCCACTGCATTCCAGCCTGGGCAACAGAGAGAGACTCCATCTCCAAAAAAATAATAATAATAAAAAATAAAAATAGACCAGGCTACTCCCATGCCTAATCCCTCAGACTGAGTTGAGAAGGACAAAATGATAAGATGATCCTTGAACCAGATATCAGATTGAAGTATTCAGCTGGAAAAGACAGAATTGGACTTTGCTATGCGTCTAAAAGTGACCAGAAAGCTCTGGGACATGCATGAGATATCATTAAAACACATCAAAAAGCAATTCAACACAGCACAGTTGAAGGATATAATGAAGAATAAATAAAACCATTTTATGTTATGTACCCAGACCCATTCAGACTTAAAAGAAAAAAAAAAGTCCAGTTCATTTATGAGGAAATCATTTTCTTGATTTTATTCATTAAAAAGGGGAGGAGAGTGAAGACACTACTCAAACCAATATAGAGGATCCAGACACTCTGGCATGGGGGAAAGACACTAAAGACACACAGGTTCTAATGACACTTCTATACCGACAGCCACCTACTTGCATCTCTAGCCAGTACTAATGTCCTGAGCTCTAGGCCAGCATATCCAATGGCAAGGTCTTTGAAGGTATGGCCTCCCCAGCCTCATCTCCCCCATGTTCACACATGCTCACCTAATCCCACCCATGCCAAGCTGTCTGGAACCTGTGGCCTCTGTTGCTTTCCATGCATGCTGCTCTGTTGGTCCAATACGTCCCTTCCTAATGTCTTTGAGTTACTCCAGCTTATCTTCCCAAACTCAGCACAAGGGTCACCATCTTGTAGAACCTAGGGGAGGTAAGTGCTACTTTCACTACATTATGGCATTTTCCAAGAAGAAAACATTAAGGGGCAGCTCCTTAGGAGACTCTGCGCCTAAGGGCTACAGTCTCGTCTTACTCATGTTAGCATTCCCTATGCTGGGCAGAGTGCCTTATACAGAGGGTGCTTAGGAAATGTTAGAGGAAGGAATAAGTGAATTTACCAATGAAGATATGAAGTCTATCGAGGGTTTCAGAAAATTATGAAATGTAATGTCTGAAGCAATTATCACATAGCAAGTCAAAGTTAGGGTACTGACCTATAACTTTAAACAAGTCATGTGGTTTTTTAATGCTTCCATGTCTCCAGTGTCAAATGGAAAGAAAAAAGAATCTCTAAAGGTTTTTTTTCAGCTCTAAAATTCTATGTTTAATGTGTCCATGCAGGATCTCTGTGGAAAGGGGCTTAACTTAAAGAAGAAGAGAAGAAAATGAAGGACGTTTTGGGTTTTCTGTTCCCAAAGAGTTTTCAGGAGAAAAACAACCAACAATCTGTTCTGAATGGCTTAATCATGTCTGCAAGATGATAGGTCATGAAAGATGATTCTTAAATTTTACCTCCTTTCCCACTTCCTAATTATTAGAAAACAGACATAAAAGGCATAGGTAGAAACTTCCCATCAAGGAAGTTGGCAACTTGGTACCCAGGATCCAGCTTCCTCATTTAAGCTGCTGAGCTATTGTGAAAGAATGAAAAAAGTCATCAAAGCAAAAAAAGAATAATCAGAAAGAGAGGACTCTGCGGCCTCAGAGAGTCCCAGCAGCTCAAAGCAGTTTAGAGCTGGCCTGTTCTTGGAGGATTGGGAGACTATCTTCTCTGCTCCTCAGGCTGTGTAGTAATTCTAAGACCCTAGTGTCCTTAGTTAGCACTGGCTAGATGCTGAAAACGAAGTTCACTGCTGGAACAGACGATGCCTGGCTAAGCCATCACTCACTGGTTTGCATTTGCAATCCAGATGTACATCAACCTTCAAGTTAAAATACAATAAACCCCATGACACAAGTTTACGTACATAACAAACCTGCACTTGTACCCCAAACTTAAAATAAAAGTTAAAAAAAATACACTCACTGTATTAGTCCATTTTCACGCTGCTGACAAAGACATATCAGAGACTGGGCAATTTACAAAACAAAGAGGTTTATTGGACTTACAGTTCCAAGTGGCTGGGGAGGCCTCACAATCATGGTGGAAGGTGAAAGGCACATCTCACGTGGCAGCGGCAAGAGAGAGAATGAGAGCCAAGCTAAATGGGTTTCCCCTCATGAAACCATCAGATCTCGTGAGACTCATTCACTACCATGAGATTAGCACAGGAAAGACTTGCCCCCATAATTCAATCACCTCCCACCAGTTCCTCCTACGACACGTGGGAATTTCAGGAGTTACAATTCAAGATGAGATTTGGGTGGGGATACAGTCAAACCGAATCACTCACCAAAGCATAAAAACCACCCTGGGCCCCTCTAGCCAGTCATCTTCAGAAAGTAAAGCCAGTAAGCAAAATAAAAAGCCAGTAAGCAAAATAAAAAGCACTCAAAAATATGTTTCTAGGTCCATAACCTTGTTAGCCAATCCTGAAATTGCCATATTCCTGGGAATAATTTTATATCTATACTCAGAAGTTCCAGTAAGAAAAAAATTAATGAGTTTCTAAATTTACCTAATAGGAATATAAGGAGGGGAGACGCCCCAAATCTATTTCATGTGATGTAAAATTCCCTCAAAGCTACCAATCTGAGTAAATTGATTAACTGTGAAATCCTTCTTTCTTGAGCCAAATTTAAACAGGATACTTATAGAGGGTGAGGAAACATCATGAGGCTAGCCCATAGGATCTTCATGCTCTGACTCAGTCTTTTCTCCTAATTAGCAAAAAGGGACCTACAAAAATACCAAAACAAAAGGTCAGATTTACTCAGAAGATTCGTGATGAACTTTTGCCTCCTGATTCTCAGAAGTGAGAAAGGATTTGGCTTTTGCTTATGGGTAAAAATAACAGAACAAGCTCTAACTTATCACAGATCAATCTAGTTATAAAGGTCATGATGAAGATAAATAATACCAAGAGTATACAGGGATGTATATGTTTACAAAATATTACATCAGACAGTCAGCACTCTAAAGCCGGATTAAAACTAGAACATTACATGGGTCCCTGTATTCAGGCTCAGTATTGGTCAATAGTAGAAAGCTCTGTCCTAATTTCCATTTTTCACTCTTTGCCACGTGATGTAAATACAGAATGTGGACAAACAGCGAAAAAGTGAAAATTTATTAAATAAAATGAGTGGTCTATATGATGTTAAATAGCTGGTGTAAGGTCTATATGATGTTAAATAGCTGGTGTAACTGATTCTCTTTAAATGGCACCTATAGCAGTGATGATCTATTTCATAGTGAAACAATTCTAACTTTAACTTCTAGCTATACTGAGCTACTGTACTCCATTTACCAAGAGAGGCACTCTACAAAGGACTACAAATAAAAGTTAAAAGATGTTAAAAAATGTTAAAAAATGAATACAGGTTGCTGTATTCATGCTGCCATGTAGCTGGGGATACATTCATTCAAGGCCAGCAGGCCTAATATAAAGACTGAGGGCTTATATTAATATAACAGATTCATGGTGGGTTCAAAGCAGGTTTCTGTGAACTGAATAATTCCCCCCCGACCCCCACTAACAACAACAAAAAGTCATCGGTTGAAACCCAAGCTCCCGATATGGTGGTATTTAGAGATGAAGCCTTTGGGAGGTAATCAGATTTGGATGAGGTCGTGAGGATGATGCCCTCATGATGAAATTAGTGTCCTTATAAGAACAGACACCAGAGAGCTTGGTTTCTCTCTCTTAACCCACACACACCAAGAAGGCCAGAAGGCCATGTGAGGACATAGCAAGAAGGTACCATCTGTAATCCACAGAGAAAACCCTCACTAGACACTGACCTTGCTAGCAGTCTTGATCTTGGACTTCCAGGCTCTGGAATTGTGATGAATAAATTCTTGTTATTTAACCCCCACAGTCTTAGGGTATTTTGTTATGGCAACCAGAGCAGACTAAGACATAGCTTACGCTTAATAGATTATGATGGCTAACTTCATGTGTCAACTTGGCTAGACTACGGTGCCCGGTCATTTGGTGAAACACTACTCTAGATGCTGCTGTGAAGGTATTGTGAATGTAATTAACACTGACAATCCATAGATTTTAAGTGAAGCAGATTGCCCTCCACAATGTGGGTGGGCTTTATCCAATCGGTTGAAAGCCCTAAGAGCAAAGACTGAGGTTTCCTGAAAAGGAAGCAATTCTCCCTCAAGACTGCAACACAGAAACCCTACCTGAGCCTCCAGCCTGTTGTCCTGCCCTGTGGATTTTGAACTTAAAACATTAACTGTTGCTTAAATGTATGGCCTGCCAGCCAGCCCTAAAAATTTCAAACTTGTCAGCCCCCACAATCATTTCTTAAAATCAAAACTCTCTCACTATATATATAATACACACACTTACATACACACATATATACACACACATACTTTTGGTTCTACTTCTCTGTAGAACCCTAATACACAGGTTAAGCAGAACAGTATAAAAGAAACATGGGATAGACAGTGACTGGGACCAATGGTAGGGGCAGGGGTAAAGAAAACAATACATAGATATTTCATGAATGATCTACAAGGGTTGGGTAGTTTTACAGAGTTCACTAGTACAGCATAGCTATTTTATACTTATCAACTGATTTAGTACCTCTCCCATCCTCCAGATACAGTTAAATTAAAACATTTAGTATTGTCTACTTTGATCATGTTTAGTTTTTATATATCATTTTAGGGCTTTCCATAGAGATAACAATTGCCCAGTTTTCTCACTAGCATAGTTTGTAATTCATTTTTTATTAATCTTTGCCATCAGATATGCCTTATGCCTAACAAACGATTTTTCTTCATAATGAACAAACATCAGATATTCTATAAACTCCATTTTTTTCTAGACTCCCTCCTCACAGTTACCCCATGTCCTCCTACTTCCAACCCCAGTTCTGCTATACAGCTGTTGTCCTGGGACTTCCCTTTTCCTTTCTCTAGTGTGATATATATATATATATATATATTCTGAAACCCATGTTCTCCTTTTTTCTTGGTTCACTCATTCATTTTGCTGGGTTACATCCTCCAGTAACCTTCCAAGAAGGTTATATGAAAGACACATTTTAAAATATTTTTATTTCTGAAAATATAATTAATCTCATACTTGATTGATCATTTTCATGGGTATGAAATATTAAGTTGAAAGCAATTCTTCCTCAGTTTTAAAGGCATTGTCCCTTTGTTTTCTATAATCCAGTGTTATTATTATAAAGTCTAACTCCAATTTTTTCTGTTTATGTCTTTCTTTTTTCCCATCATTGGAATACTGCAATGGTTTTCCTTGAGCTAGGCTTTCCCCTCCCATATACTGAGGTGCTCACTGCACCCTTTAGAAACACGTCTTTCAGTTTTGAGAATTTTAAAATATTATTTCTATGTTAATTTCCTGTCCCCCATCCTTGTGGCCTCTTTCTAGAATTCATATTAGATCCGAAACTCACAGACTGATCTCCTAGTTTTCTTATCTTTTATACCATATTTTCTACATCTTTGCTTTTAGTTTACTAAGAGTACTGTCTTCCAAACTTTCCTTTGAATTTTTTTTGGCTATATACTGTTTTATTTAGAAGACCTCTTAACTGTTACTTAATAACTCTTTTATTGTAACATCCTGTTCTTATTCCACAAATGTAACATCATCCTAAATGTAAGTCATTCAGTATGGTTATCTTAACTTATTCTTGGCTTCACTTCCTCTCTCTTTTTCTTTTTCCAATTTGTCATGTTAGTCTGTCTTTCATGTTGAAAGCTTTCTTCAAATACCTTGTAATATTGGCCTGCCTATTCACATTTACAAGTTGAGGCACTGAAATTATCCTTGAAAGGTTGGAATAGGCTGAGCAAGTTGCCTTGGAGACTTCACTGAAAAGCAGTCAGTCAGAAAAAGGCCTTTTATTGAGACTCTCATATGTAAGGATTTGGAAAACTTTTTATCCAAGAATCTTTCTTTCTCAAGGTGCTAATATTCTGCTCTCCTGCCTGTGCTGAACCTTCTGTGTAGATTTACTGAATCTTCTGGTTTTCAGCTCTGTAATTTACTTTTACTCTCTGCTATATATGATGTCCCTGGGTGTGGAGCTTCCCAGTTAATTTCTCCAAAGAACAAACTTCAGTTATTCTATAAGAAAAGAATGGGAGGTGATGGGGAGAATATCACATGACCATGTTAGGTGGAGGAGGTCCAAGGATCCCAAAACTCACTGCTCCTATGACCCTTCTGAATAAATGCATTTGGGGAGTGTTCAGACTTGCCTGCTGTTTCTGTAAAACACACTACTTATAAGACCGTTAGGAGTTCTAAAATATTAATCTACTTGCTTCTGGCTTATATCCCCCTCTGTGGGATGGTAGGTAATACTTTCTGCTGTTTTTTTTTTAAGTTGGTTACCACTCCTCTTTCTGCTTTTTACCTTGTTAAACTTTATTAACATCTACTACTCACTGACACCACCTATCCCATATTCTTTAACCTTAGGGATTAATACTTATTATTAACACATAACTTTACTCTTGTCTGCTAGTATTTAGGTGGAGAGGGAAAGGAGTTAAAAACAAGAAGTAAATTTGTGACATTATACTATGTCCTTTACCATCTTCTTAGTCTCACAATCAGAGCTGAGCAAACATATTTGGAAATGAACACTCCTCACTACCCACCTCCTTTAGCTCCCAATCAGGGTGTTCCATCTTTAGGCAGAAATTAAAAGACTGGAAGGAAGCTCACACATCCAAATGGTACAGGACTCTAGCCTCTATCCTTTACCTCATCAATGTCATAATTTGCCAAAGACAGGGACAGAAAGCTACTGATACGACTAGCCAAGTTCTGATATATTTCTGCCTCTGAGCTTACTCTAAGCAGCCAGTACTTGACTTAGCTTCCTGACCTGGTGCTTCTCTCCTGCTCAAAAACAGAGGAAATGATTGCCCTTGTCTGTGCCTTACCTCCCATCAGGCATGGACAGTTGTTCAGCAACGGAGACCTCCTAATTGGGCCAAACCTTTGGGATATAATGATGGATCAGGAGAAGCTTGACAGGAAAGAAAAAAAGCCAAAATGACCTAATGTATTAGCCTGTCAGTTTATGAGGCAACCCCAGCATCTCTGTCCTAAAACTCACCCGTATACCACTGACACCTGCTGTGTAGGGCCTGTGAACCCAAAGCAAGCAGCTTGCATAACACAAGACAGGGAGCAGCTCTGGCTCACACACAATGTCCCCCACCTCCAGTTAGTTCTCCTGCTTCCTGGACTCTGAGTCCAGCCAATCTAGCCAGTGATAGTTGTTTGCCCCTCTTCACTATAGCTTAGCTTCCTGGATCCAATTCCACACTCACCTAAACACGCATGCTATATACCAACCCTGCCCCTGTGCTCTGTTCGCTGGCAATTCATTACTCAAATTATTCTGATCCCTACTGAAGACCAAACTCTATAGCCCTACATAACTGACCCACATTTGACGCCTGCCTCATAACTTCTGTTTAGTAAATCCTACAGGAGAAGTGACATAGTGTACTAGTAACACATTACATGCTGTGGCCAGACTGATCTGGGTTCAGTTGCAGTTCTGCCACTTACAAGCTGTGGGACACTGGGCAAGCCACTGCATTTCTTTGAGTCTATTTCCCTGATCTAGAAAATGGAGATAATATAAATCCTAATTCAAAAGTTGTTAGGATTTGATGAAATAATACAGCAACTAGTAACTAACACAATGCATGAAACAGAAAAGGCACTTGATTATGTATTAGCCCCTCCCATCGAAGCTGACTTGAACTGGTAATAAATTTAGTGGCTTTCCCATGGTGGACTGCATAAACTGCCTACGAAGCATCACATGGACCCTGTCTGCCTTGAGTTCCTACATTAAACACCTTTGTCTTTATTGCTGATTTCTGGACACTTCTAAATCAGTCAGCCTTCAACTGCACACGCAAAGCCAAACTTTGAGAGCCATTGCAATATCCAATGGACCTTAAAAATAAAGTTAAAAAACTAAAACGAGAGTTCATTAAAATTAATTTGAAATTGTAAAAATAACTACAAAAATGACTCCTCTAGGTCCACCAGTTCTTGACTTAAATAGAAAAAGCAGCTACGCTCAGGGGTACGCAGTAATTTACATAATATAGCAGATACCTACAAAGTATCTATTACTTTTCATCCAGGGTGTTTAAATGAAAATGTGAAGATACTATTTAACTCAAAGCTTTTCTTTGGCATATTATGATCACATTTTCTTTGAAAATCTGGCTAGTGGCAACATTCTACATGACTGACTATCCAGGATTCTTCATTTAAAAAATCAGCTTTCAAAGATATCTAGCATATTTTTTTCTTTTTAGGTATCCTTCTTTGCTATCAAAGTATGAAATTACATAAATAACATTTTTTAAATTAATGCTAATTTTTCCATAATTCCTGAAATTTTGCCAATTTCCATTTGCTAAGATAAATCATCAAAACTCTCTGGAGTCTACCACTCATTAGTCTAAAGGAAAGGAGCAAATCAACAATCCAGACTGACATAAACACATATATATGTTCACCCACCAAAATCTTAATAATTTATGCAATGAAACGAAAACAGGTAGGGTGTATTTGACAGGCTATTTCTACACAAAATGAATCTGACACTCACTCAGCTTGGCAATGCCACTACTGTGAGAAAGCATTTAGCAGACAGGACTGGTAATAGCAGAACAACCGACAGCTATGTATGCTCTGTGTTGAGTATAAAATAAAACTCACCAGCAAAGCTAATGTGGATAGAAAATATAATAGCGCTATTTTTCGAAATGGATCATCTGAAATAACGCAAGAGAGGAAATGGATGTTAACTCTACTTTATGTCCAGAGTCAGCCTAATATTTGCAAATGCTCACTTAAAAAAAATGAAAGGCTTTTGTAGTGAGGGGGATGATGGTGCTAATGGGAGAATTAAGACAGCACCAATTAAAAACAGAGGATTTTAAAGCATATGCTTGACTTACGACAACTGAATGTGAGCCTGAGAGATGGAGTTGTTGGTGAGGGAAAGTGCCATACCCTTTCTCTGGAGAATTTGATGAATCCTCAATACGTGTTAGCAAAGACAAATTTACTGTAAAGATAATGAAGCTTAAGCCTTGGGACCCACACTTGTAAGGGCCTCTTCCAAGAACATAGGAGGAGCCCTAGCAATGTTTTCACATAGACTTATGTTTTTCTAAATCCTGAGAAAATGAAATCTATTACCACAACCATTAAGATTGCTTCCTTCCACTCCAACTTTTCCTCCTTCAAACACACACACACACACACACACACACACCCTTGCCAAGGAGTATGGTAGTGTGCATGGGCATTTTGGGAGCCAGCTAAAGAGCAGTAGAGCTGGGAGTACATTTAATTGGGAATGACTGGGATATGTTTATGTGTCCCAGGTAAGGTAAGTTATTGCTATGGGTCCTAGTGGAGGATGCTCCTACCATTTACTGTCCCAATTACCCTTGTGTTGTGGCCCAAAGATGCAGAGCCAGAGAATGTAAAATAAATGTGGCCTACGTTATTCAGCACCAAGAAGGGATGAGGTAAGAAAGGAGAAAACAAGTCCTGAAATAAGTATTCAGAGCCAAAAACTAGTCTATGGAAAAGTGTTCCAAGTCTTACAGAAAGATACTTACAGTGAAAGAAACTTGATAATTTTCCAAATTTGACAGCAATCCTAAAAATGTACGCAGCATTATGAATAAAAGCTAAAATTTTCTAAACTAACAATAACAAAAAAAGCTCAAATTGTCAAAGGGAAGACTGTATTATCTTTCTATTCTCTCTATAGAATATATTAGAAAAATTGTTATTGTATGAAATGATCAGAGTATGGAGCCAAAAATGTTTTTTTAATAAAGGACAATAGAGGTTATTTAAAACATTATACAATCTTCCTAAATATTTTGTGATAATGATGTCAGGTTTTTGAAAATCTGTAATTTCTTGTGATTTCTTTTCTGATTTACTTGTAACTTTGTCATTTTTTTCTTCTTTTCTTTTCTTTTCTTTTTTTTTTTTTTTGAGACGGAATCTTGCTCTGTTGCTCAGGCTGGAATGCAGTGGTGCAATCTCGGCTCACTGCAACCTCCGCCTCCCAGGTTCAAGCGATTCTCCTGCCTCAGCCTCCCAAGTAGCTGGGACTACAGGCGTCCGCCACCACTCTTGGCTAATTTTTTGTATTTTTAGTAGAGACAGGGTTTCAGCCGTGTTAGCCACAATGGTCTCGATCTCCTGACGTCAGCCCAAAGTGCTGGCCTCCCAAAGTGCTGGGATTACAGGTGTGAGCCACTGTGCCCGGCCTGTCATTTTTTTTCTTTGAAAGGTCCTTCAAAACTTTGTTTCAAGCCCCATGAAACCTGAATCTGTCTCTGCAGATCCTTATAGATTCTTGTCTTCAATGTTCCATAAGATAATTGATTCTTATTCCTGATATATATGTGAAAGCCTTAAAAACTTAGAAACTTGATCTTACTTAATGTTAACTGAACACCTCATGTAAATCTTCCAAAAATATAGAATACATTAACCTGAGAAGTATTAAAAAGGATAATCTGATCTAAGATTTTCTTTCATTTATGTATAAAGCTTTAGGGGCATCACTTAACCATCACCCAAAAGAATATGAACATAGAAAGTCTATGAGATTTGTCCTTGAAATAGCTTTTTAGGAAAAATTGTTGATACAGCTTTTCTGAGCCTACCAAACTTCACACCAAACATAATGAGGTCTAACACCACTACCCATTTCACCTGTTTCTCTGAACTGGGTTCAAGGAGAAATTTCAGATGTATCTAAATCCTGATAGTTAGATTTTAGCTAGTTTTTATTGTAAGTGTAATTCTATTCAGAAGTTCAAAATAGCCTTGAATTACACTGAATTCCACTCTCCAGTGTTCCCAATGAAATATGGGTCTATTTGGCACTCCTCTGAGGTTAACTTTTTAAAATATAGCCAGTTTCATGCTGCATGAGGGCCATGTGTACTCAGTAAACCTTCTCAAAAGCCTCCAGGGCTCACTGTGGATGCCAGCATGCTCGAGCTATGTTGGCGCCCCACAGTCATCCCATCTGGTCCCAGTCAGAATGAACTCAAGGGCCTGTGTACTATGTTGAATATACCAAATATCTTTTTAAATAGGAGTTTTTAAAAACATGGATAAAAACATAGTTGAAATGATTTAAGTGTGCGCCATATGTAAAAAGGTAATGAGCACTTGAAACCACTATCATTCCCAACATATTTAATCAATCTTTTCATAGATCCTAGTCGTGTTGGGAAAAAAAAGGATCAGAAATAGCAGTACTGGTTGTTAAAGAGATCTGCCCAGGGAGCTGGCTTGAAATATATTCTGCAGCCTTCGCTAGGGATGGTGAGAACTGGAGAACTGGCAAGAGCGTGGGGTCTGGGGGGTGGAAGAGGAGGAGTTAATTGCTATTTTTAGGGCCAGTGAAAATTGTTCCATTTTAGAACAGCATCTACTTCTCAGTTGGAAATATCACAAACCAAGCCCAAGAACATATTTCATTGTCCATAATTACATACAACACTATCCCTACATTGTATATTAGAAAAAAAAAAGCTAAAGCTGTCTTCATTTGCCTAAGCACATGGACACTCACAAATAGAAAAACCACAAATATCTTGCTCTCAGTAGGGAATGGGTCTGGCAGCTACTCACTTTTTCTCCAAAACAAACCACACCACTCACTTGAATGTTAATAGTTTCAGCCTTAATTTACTGCTAACGTATTTTAAAGATTTTCATTTGAACAACTTGATACTATTCCTTTCCAATAAAGAGGACATAACTAAGGGTCAGATCTATAAGTAGGCAACAATAGACGCCACAGGGAGGCAAAGGGACAGAGAAACTCAAATAACAACAGTAATCCGGAAGCTGACATCCCATGTAAGACTCTCAGTGAAAATTAAAACCATAAACCAGAAATCTGCAAAACCCAAGGCTTTCTTCAATTCATTTCACATAAATCACAATGGATCTTTTTTGGAGGAAGAAGATTATGGGGGGGGGGGGCGCGTTATTGTTAATTGACAATTATATATATTTATTGGGCATAATGTGATGTTTTGATACATCTATACATTGTGGAATAATCAAATCAGGCTAATAATATATCAATCACCTCTGATACTTATCGTTTCTTTGTCCTGAGAATCCACTGTTTTAGCTATTTGGTTTGCTTTTATTAGAAACAGGGTCTTGCTATGTTGCCCAGGCTGGATTCAAACCCCTGGGCTAAAGCAATCCTCCCATCTCAGCCTTCTGAGTAGTTGGGACTATAGGGGCATACCAGCACACCACATTCTTTCAGCTAGTTTGAAATACACAATACATTATTATTAATCATAGTCACCATGCTATATAATAGAGCACTATAACCTATTTATCCTAAGTGAAACTTTGTACTCTTTGACTGACATTTCCCCTTTCCCCACCCATATCCTGCAACTCTCACTCCCCTAGCCTTTGGTAACCACCATTCTACTCTCTATGTCTATGATATCTACTTTTTCACATGTAAGTGACATCATGCAATATTTGTCTTTCCGTGTCTGGCTTATTTCACTTAGCATAATGTCCTCTAGGTTCATTCACGATGTGGCAAATGACAGAATTTCCTACCTTTTAAAGACTGAATAGTATGCCATTGTGTATATATTCTACATTTTTAAAATTAACTCATCTACTGTTGGACACTTAGATTGATTCCATATTTTAGCTACTATGAATAGTGCTATAATAAATATGGGAGTGCAGATATATCTTCAAAATCTGGTTTACTTTTCTTTGGATATATACCCAGTAGTGAGACTGCTGGATCAAAGGGTGATTCCATTTTTAGTTTTTTGAGGCACCTCCACACTGTTTTCCATAATGTCTGTACTAATTTACAATACCACCAACCGTGTGCAAGGCTTTCTTTTCTCCACATCCTCACCAACACTTTTATTTTTCATCTTTTCGATAATAGCCAATATAACAGGTATGAGGTGATATCTCACTGTGGTTTTAATTTGCATTTCTCTGATGATAAGAGATAAATAGCATTTTTTCATATACCTGTTGGCCATCTGTATATCTTCTTTTGAGAAATATCTACTCAGGTCCTTTGCCCTTTTTAAAATAGGGTTATTTGTTTTCTTGTTATGAAGTATCTACTCAGGTCCTTTGCCCTTTTTAAAATAGGGTTATTTGTTTTCTTGTTATGAAGTAGATTTAGTTCCTTATATATTTTAAACATAAGCACAGTTAATCTTAACAGGTAGCTGTGTTAAGAACACAGGCAGAACTCTCCATAGAAGAGATTACTCTAGTTAGTTTGTTCAACTATAGGCAACTTTGACACATCTGGCAAAGGGGCATCTGAAGGATAGCTTTTCTTCTTTTCTCTGGCTTGTCCTTCCCCTTTCAATGCCTTTTCATTTTTCCCTCTTCCTATTCCTTGTCTCAGGCTTGGGAATGCCAGGAGCATCCATGAGCAAAGTCTAGCATCACAGGTCATGAAGTCACATAGTGGCAAGTGCTATGGAGAAAAATAAAGGAAGGTAAGGGGCAGAGGTAACCTGGAGGGGTGGGGGCTGTTGTTACTGTGTTATTTTACACAGGCAAGTCCAAGTAGGTCTCCTTAAAAGTGTGACATTTTGCCAGAGACCTGAATTACATAAAGTCCTGAATCATGCAAGTACCTGCAGGCAAAAGGCAGAAGGAAAAGCACATGCAAGGGCCTACTTCGTGTGACTAAAGAAGAGAAATGCAAAGATGGCCTGGAGAGGAATGAGTGAGGTGGAGCATGCTGGGAGGTGAGGCAGAAAGAAGGCAGAGGCCTGATCACAGAGGGCCTGTCTTTTAAGTCCTACAAGAAATTCTGCATTTAGACTGTAAGAAGGTGAAGTCAATTGGAAGGGCTGTAAATAGAAGAGTGACATAATGACAGGATGACTCTGGTGGTTGTATGCAGACTAGACACTAGAAAGCTAGGGTGAAGCATGGAGACCAGTTCAAAGGCTACTGTAATAATGCAGGAGACAAATGATGGTGGCTTAGACCAGGGTGTTGGCAGTATAGGTAGAACAAATGAATGGATTCTGGATATGTTTTGAAAATAGAGCTGAAAGGATTTGCAGGTGGTTTGGGTATGAAATAGACAAGATGTGAGAGTCAAAGGTGACTCCTAGGATCCTGGTCTTAGAAGTAGAAAAGATGGTGTTGCCATTTAGTTAAGACAGGGCAGGCAGCCAGGGGAGCAGTTTTGGGGAAGATGGGAATATTAGAAGCTTGATTTTAGACATGTTAGGTGTGAAAACCTGCTGGATATTCAAGGAGAAATATCAAATAGGCAGTTAGATATAAGAATCTGGAGTTCTGAAGGAAAGTTCAAGCTGGAGATAAAATTTAAGAGTGGATAGCATAGAGATAATATAAAGATTAGATGCATGGCATGAGACTGGATGAAATCACCTAAGGCAAGTCTGTTCAACCCACAGCCTGAGGGCCACATGCAGCCCTGAACAGCTTTGCATGTGACTCAACACAAATTCGTAAACTTCCTTAAGACATTGTGAAATTTTTTTGTGATTTTGTTTTTTAGCTCATCAGCTATCATTAGTGTTAGCGTATTTTAAGTGTGGCCCAAGACAATTCTTCTTCTTCCAGTGTGGCCCAGGGAAGCCAAAAGACTGGACACCCCTGACCTAGGGAATGAAGGAAGATAGAACAAGGAAGAAGGCCAAGGACTAAAACCCCAGGTAACCCAGTGTTATAGTGTGTAAGCTGGAGGAGATAAAAGGAAATAAGCAAAGAAGTCTGGGAAGGAATCCTGCATAAATTATCCTATTTGCCCCAGTGTAAAAGGAGAATGAATCAACTTGCAGTTCCTAAGAGCCATGCTCTCTACTATAGGAAGAAGGCTGCTCAAGTGTCTACGTCATCCCACTCATCTTTCAGTCTAGCATATATTCTTATATATACAGACACAGACTCTCAAGAACACACACTCATACACACCCCCTCACACCCAGCTTGCACATCCACAAGACCAGCCCAATATACAGCTAGAGTGCAAACTGAGGAGGCCATTCTTGGAAATATCCTGGCCAGGGCTCTGAGCAGACAGGCAGAGAAGGGGCATGGAATGGAAACTCACTCTGGAAGTTTGAGGCTCTGTTTCATTTCAATTACACAGAATGTCTTCCCAAAGGGAGCACAAGGCAAAAAGTAAATTATTCTACCTGTCTCCAAGCATTCATTCAAGTTTTAAAGAAGAATGGATTTCTTAATCAAGTTTTATTACTTATGAACACTATCTAGAAGATCTCTTTGAATGTGTTTGGGCAGTGCAAGACAAAGAATTCCATGGCATCTTCTCCCCTTATGCATCAGGGCTACAGCAATCCTAAGGGTGCTGGGCTCTTTTCAGGAACTCTGTCTTTAGGATTATACTGTATTTCTATAGGATGTCACAGTGCCCAAGAAAGGTCACGTTTTACACACTCTACTTAAGTATTTTCACTTGCTTTGTGCTGTTTGCAGTATTTCTAGTGCTTTTCTTACCTAAGTATTCATTTAGTCCCCACTAGTCTCTTTGTTAATCAATGCTTTAAGTGGTCTTGAAAAAAAAAATGTTCTCTGTGGCACCTCTTATTTTTGAAGCAATGGAATTGAAGCTGTAGTTATATTTTGCCAAACTAATGGAGTAATCCAGTGGGAAGAGAAGTGGGCAAACCAAATGCCCTGGTTACATATATGTGGCTGAATACTTGTATTTTCTATATGTGAACTGCTGTGCTGGCATCATATGAACATTCTCTATTCCAAAGAACTTCCCTGTGATGGCTCTATCAGAAAGCAGAATCTTGAGATGCAAGAGATAGCAATACTCTGCCTTAAACTGACTTCGAGCATGAGATCTGATCCTGCTGTAGTATCTAACAAATACAATTGCCACTTGCTATGACATACCACAGAGAATTTAATGAAACCTAGCAATGTGTGAATGGTTTACTGATGGCTACCACTGGTCATGAGCATCTCCCAGTGAGGTGAAGACACCTCTTGATTACCTGGGGACACTTGAGTCACACCAACTTATCCAGAAGCATCTACTCTCACAATCCAGGGCTTCTCATGAGAAAACCCTTAGAAGCCAAGGAAATCTGGGCAGAAGTCCATTTGTATTAGACCGAGAAAAAGAAACATTTCTGGCAATTAGTTACAGAAAAACTGAGTCTTTATGCATGAACCTTATTATTCTGTTTGCAGTAAATTCCCAGAACATCTGATGCACTCCTATTCATACTAAAATAACAATGAGAAAATTTGAAACCAATAATAAATTCAGAATAATTACCCCTCCATTATCTACACCTCAATTAAGGCTTAAGTAGAAAAAATCAGCTTAACCTTTAGGAGGGGTAATTGCACAGCCACAGGAGACTGAATCTTCCCACTGACCTCTCAAATTTCCTCAACAATCCTAAAAATCTCACCACCTGAAATTGGGCTGAAATTAGAGTATTTTCTTAACTGAAAATACTCCAAAGCCCTATAACACATCCTATGGCAGATGTTCACTACTTATTGGATGAATGAATGAATGAATGAATCATGCCTTTCATTAGCTCTTTCACTGCGGCCCACCTGGACACTGGATCCTAAGAAGGTGGTTGAGGAAGAGGGGCCAGAACCTGGCTTAGGCTGGGCCTCTGGGCAGTTGAGAGCTAAAGTGCATGAGTGAAGGATATCATGAAAGGGTGTGTGAAGAGTGCTCCAACATCCACTTCACCTACAACACAATTTGCACCCTCCAACCAGCCTACAGGTCAGTTCTCGCTGTGCCCATGGTGCCTCACCCTCCTCAGCATCCAGGTGATGCATCTTCAAGTCACTAGCATTGTTTCTTCTTTCCAAACAGCAAATGTACTGCTAGCTTATTTTCATTTCATCAGATGGTAAGTCCCTGAGGACAGGGACCATGACATGCGTATGTTACCATCCAACACCATATTTTGCATATATTGGATGTTCACTCAGTAAATGTCAGGTAAATGGAAGTAAGTAAGATGAAGCACACATTGTGGGAATACAACCAAAGTGATACTACCAGGGTGCAATGTATGCTGAATTTCAGACTGGCTTAAATGAGAACAATCTTAGCATATGAATTTGGTTAACTGATAAACGTTTGAGTGTTTAAAATGGCAGCAGGGCTGTGCCAGAGTCACTTTGGATGTAAAATACATTCAAATGCATTGGTGATGTGCACACAGCACCAATAAAGGGAAAAGAGAGAGAACACCTGGGCTTATAAACTACCTATTTTATAGTGCTGTTTCTCTCTATAAGGTATAGTCTCTCTATAAGAATGGCATTATGGTTTTTAAAGTGCTACCGCAGTTTCTTTCACATTCTCCCTGATGAAGGAGGTTTCATTATCCCCACTTAAGAGATGAGAAAGTTGCTTCTCCAAGAGGCTTTGTAAATTTCCCAAGATCACCTGGGGAAAAGTGACCTAGGATGCAAACCCAGGGGTCCTGATGCCTGTTCAGTACTATGTCAACTTCATTACTAAATCAGACAGTTTTCATGTCTTTAAAAGAACCCACTAAATTTGCACAAGATGCTTTTGTAATGCCAATGTGTATTTTGAAAATTATTATTTTTTGTGAAGGCAAGTTCTATAAGAAATAGGAGTTCTAATAATCAAAGGTTAAACTCCCTCAAGCAATAGAGAGACAATTCTGGCTAAATAAGACAGTTAGCCAACAAATAGAATCATTATTCTAAAAGAGGACACTCTTTTATATGTCTAAATGACCTTTTCCTTTACTAAAGTAATAACCTGAACAAGGTTGTCTGAACATGTATGTACCATACACATATACATTCCACAGCCAGTGAGGTTTATGCCAACTCCAGGCAACGTCACCTTCAAATGATGCTTCCTGGCAGCAATGCCTAGTGAAGGTCATGAATGTAATGTGACTACTAATACAGCCCTGCCCTGCTCAACAGGCTGAACTATGGAGCCAGATCACATTGCTACTCCTGCAGGCAAAAAAGCTACCATGACATTAGAGCAGCTAAAAAAAGATTGGACAAATTTATCATGTTTGTGTAAGCCCAGACTTGAATAAATTTGCTCCACTAAAGTTTTATTTCAAGCATGACTTATATTATGGACAGTGGCAAACATCTTCTTGAAAAGAACACTGATCAAAGGAAAGATTCTTGTGGTTCCCTGTCAGATTCTTTTTACTCCCACCCTCACTCCAGTTCTAGCTGAGATCCCTGGGAAAACCAAGCTCAACAAAATCACTACTCCAGCAGGAGACCAATGGTGTTTCAGGGACAGCATGAGTTTGTCTATTTTTTGGTCCATTTTCCCATATTATTGTGGTCCCACACTATCTGTGCAGCCTCCAAGATGCACACTGATTTTCACATTGGTATTTTTCTGGTTCCCATCAGTCTTCCCTGCTCTTTGACCATCTGGTTCCCTTCAGATCCTACTTCTCTTTTATTGTCTTAAATGCTAGTTTGGGTGCTAAACTCACTACCATGAGTACCTTGATTAAATCCCCCTATTCAAATATGACAACACTTTAGCAGGATAGCCAATGAAGTCCCCGCAACATAGATTCATAAGGAAAAGGCCCCACTTGAGTTTGGTGAAGATGATCCAGCTATCAACCTGGCCCTTAAGATGAGTAATGAGAAGTTTAGCATTCTGTGTCCAGAAAGGCAAGGAGAAATCAAGTCTGACATGTGTCATCATCAGTACTGAAGAGGCCCAATTTGGCAAGAAAGACAAAGAAGCTTCCTGGTTTTAAGTCCATTAAGGGCAGAACTTTGGCTAATGGTGAAATTTCTAGTCCTTGGAGAATAGGCTCTGGGAAGATCTAGGAAGGTGACACAGCTCCAGCCAGGCAGGCAGAGTTTTGAATGGTCCCAGACTCAAAGAGAAACACTAGCTGAAGTTAAAGCATGTGCCTTCTGAAAATGCCAGGAGGATCAGGTGAAAGCTACAACTTTATGGGCATCCAAGGACCAGACCCAGGAGTACAGAAGCATAACTAATTCTACCTTCACCCACCATGGACTGGAAGCTCCCAGTGGGCACATTCCTTGTCCTACTCAGTATGGCCAGGGATTGGAGAGGCCTGAGCCCAGCGAGGGAGGCACTGGAGCAATAGGCTGGGATATGGTGCCGGGGAAGCCAGGGCCCATTGGCTCCTTGGTCACAGCTTTCTCTCATGTCTCCTCTGCTCTTTGCCATCTGAAGGACTTACTTCCAATAGGCCAGCCTCTAGGAATATGGATGGTGAGGCAATCAATGCATATGATCCCATCCATAAAAAAACAAGCCTTACCCAAAAACAGTGTCAAAAATGTACTCCCCACCATTCTAGGCTTCCTGTTTCTGTCAAGTTCCTTGCTCTTTCCATCCTTAGTACATGATAACCCCAACTGGTCAGCACAGCACGGCTCCTCAGTTAGCAATCGCTGCAGGAAAAAGTCATAACCTAGGTCATTATAACCATATGACATCCAACCTCACCTGTGCCTTCAAGGTGGTCCAACCATTATTTTATTCATTTAGTGTTGGCCCTAAGTCACCCGACCTTCAGCAATTATCCTAAACTTTCTCAAAAGCCTTAGCTCCACATCTTACCCACCTACTCACTCTCAGCAGAGGACTTCATTCCATATTTTACAGAGAAGATTGAAGAAATCCAACTGGAAGTCCTCCATATTTCCTTTCATTCTGCTTCAAAATCTCCGTACTTCAGTTTCTTCCTCATTTCTCAAGAAGAAATGGCCCCTCTCCTCATCAAGCCAAACCCAGACCTGATCTCTTTCCCTCTTGCCTTTGCAAAGATCTAACTTTATGAGGTAACTACTTTCTCTTACAGTTCAATTTAAATTTTGTCTGCAAACTTTATCCCTGCCACAGATATATTCCGGTCTCTCCTGTCCTAGATTTTGCTATCTATCCCATTCTACCAAAATTCTGCATGAGAGAGTCTAAACTGGGATGCCAAACAGTCTCATCCCAGGCCAAGTCTGGTAGACTCTCTCCATAACTCTCTGTGGAGAAGGACTCAGGCCAAGCTCAGGCCATATCGGATAATGAAGTCTGACGAGGGGTGGTGAGGTATGGCAGGGAGAGTGTGGCCTATCTGCTGACATGGAAAAACACACTGTCTTTCCTTTTATACCACCCTCTCACCCCATAACTTCTTACACCCTGGTTTTAAGTGAGATTTAAATTAATAAATCAACAGACATTTTCTCATTCTATGTTCTTTCCAGTACCCTCCTTTTCCAAACTCTTTGTTCCATTGGCTTCTGTACCACAGCACCAGCTTCATTCTTCTTCATCTTCTCCCACAGCCATGCTTCCATGGCCTCCCCCACCTCTTACCTGCAGGTTTGCTGTGGGACCCTGTTCTCCATCCCCTGCATTCTCACACTCCCTACTCGGAAGCCAATTCACTCCTTCAATATCATGTACAGTTACCAAGTCAACACCTCAAAGGAGAACATCTCTGATAAATCCTAACATGGCTATGATTTAAGAAAGTATAAATCCAAACCCATTATAATAGCTGATTAAAGAACAGCCCTTACTGATGATTTTTTATTTCTGTTGGTGAAAATGATGTCAACATCTTACCACCATCTTCATTACCTTTCTCTCCCCCTCCATCAGTTGCTAATATTCAAAGATTTGGCATCTACAACATCTTTTATATCTTCTCCTCCATGTCAGGTTCAGAGAGGGCCTCTCCTTGTTCAGATCCTCATCATTTCTCATGTATAACATCACAATAGCTTCCTAACTCATCTCCCTGCCTTCAGTATCTGTTCTCTAATTCGCCTTGTAGATACCTGAAAAAACACCTGATTGAGTTTCTTTTAAATGTTTTATTATCCCACTCCTCCACTCAAAAGAGTGTCAAAATTCCTTACACAATCACCTAAGACCTCCACAATATGCCCAAACCTACCTTCCTCCCAGATGTTTTTCATGTAACTTCCTCCCCACTAGACTTGCTTGACTGCTTGACTCCACAACCCTAACTTCTCCCACCTCTCATGTTTTCCTCCATTGTTTTTGGCCCCTCGTCGTATGCTTGCCCCTAGCTGTTTATTTTCCTCTTTCACTATCCCACCATAACATGGCTTCACCTCTTAATTTAGGTCTCACTTCAAATACTATCTTGTTCATGAAAGTTTTCCTAATCCTTTAATTGAAAATATTGCCTTCATTCTTTGAACTCCTACAGTACGTTGGGCCCCATTGTGACAGCCATCACATTCTGGACTGCATTATAATTAACTAATGCCTTGCCACCATCTCCCCAACACAGTGGTACTCGAAGATACCTTATGTCAGGGACTGAAACGTACTTAAGTTTTTGCTTTCAGAATGTTCACACCATAGCATCTCGCACACAGAAGGTATTCACTAAATGTTTTACAAACTGAATAAAAGCAAACTGAGGTCTATCATACACTGAGCCATGGAGAGTGAGTTTATTGACATTCATGGTATCAGAAGGGCAGTACTATATGGACTTCAGTTGAATGTTCCCCCTATAAACAAGCTCTTTCCCTTTCCCTCTCAAACATGTTTGACAATTTGAATCTGTTTGAAATTACTACCAGTTATTTTTAAAACCTTCAAGCACAAAATGAAAAATAAATGGCCCTCATTCAGCAACACTTTACAACTGGAACCTGATTTACTTTTTAATCTTTTCAGACGAGTCTGCAGGGCTGTTCAGACTTTTCACAACTTCTGAAGTCACAGGGAATTTACCAAATGTAAGTGGCAGTCATTCATGCCACTCAGACATTAGGCCAGGAAGGTTATATTTATCTGCCTGGGCAAGGGAGTCAAATCCAATGAAACAATACCTAAGTCAACTGCAGGGCTCCTAAATGAGGATAAAAAGGGCCTGCCCTACTTTGAATTTTTACAGCGAACAAAGAAGACCTATCCCCTAGAAAATATCTGAGTTGCGAATTAATTCCAATCGGTACAATTCATTCCCTCCTTATGCATGAGCTATTTTAGTGAACTACTTTATAATTGAATTTTCTTTAGGTAATTCACAGCTAGACTGACAGGTTTTAAAATGATAACACTGATCAATAGGCCACCAAGGACACATTGTGCCCACTTAATAAATAGTAATAATAAGCAGATTTCTGACATCTGAAAGATATTCCCATTAATTAATTCTCATACACCATCCTAAAAGGTGCCTTGACTCTGCTTAAAAAGATGTGTAGTCAATTCCAACCAGGAGGTTCATTCTATATTCCCATAGAAATAATATAATAGCCAATGCACAATTCCAGAAAATGCAACATTTACTATTGTTTTTAATTTTCCAACAATAGCCCTTTCATAGGGTCCTCTGCATTTTGACCTGTAATCAAAGCATATCTGAATTCTGAGCCTTTTTTGAGCTAACTTGAATTTGCAGTCCTGCCATGCAATTTATTGTATATTTCAGGATTATGAGCAGTTAACTTCTAAGGATCTTGAATTCTACATAGGATATGTACATCTGTTCATCTCTCCTATCAAGCCATTCATTATCTCAAATATTTGTTTTTCCAAACTCTCCTCCCATCTATTGCTCTTACCTCTAAGAAGGAAATGTGACTCCTTGTTACCAATGTTAACCCTGTATTTCTTCCACTCTTGTCTCTTCTAAATCTTATTTTTCCTGTGTTCATTCTCTCTTTCATTCTGTACCTATCACCATGTTCAGGATTTATTCTCCTCTATCCCTCATAAAACAAAACAACAACAACAACAACAAAAACCCCAACCCATGACTTTAAGAGTCTCACATGATTCCATCATTTCTTTCTCCTTCCTAGAAGATCATCAATGACCTCCTCCATTCCCAGCCCAATGACCTGGTCTTATTCTCCATCTTCTTTAACGTGTAGGGCATTTGACACAGCTGGGCCCTCCTTCCTTCTGAAAGGCCCCTTATCCTGGCTGTGAAAACTCCCAATCACTATCCTTTGCTCCTCTTCTGTCTCCTCTGATGACTCTTTTTTCTCCTGGTGCCAGCTATATCTTTGTGTTCCCCAAGGTACAGTTCTTACCATCTTTTACTTATCACCCTGTCTATCCCTTCCTCAACCTTGTGAATGGTTCCTTAATTCTACCACTTACCTAGGAGCTAAAGGCTACCTCCCCCTTTTTGACTCCCTCTCCTTCTTCACCACCCACATTTTAGCAGCCAACAAATCACTCTGGGACATTATTTGCATAGTCACTGATATGCTTTATTTCTTCCACATAGCCATAAGCATCACTTCAGTAAATGCTATTATAACCTCTTACAGAAAACTATACCACCCAGTTCCTTGCCGTGAAGTGGGGCCATGTGGTCAGTCTGGCCAATGGACCATGGGCAGAAGTAATATGGGTCACTTCCAGGTGGGAACAGAGAAGAGCAAGGTGTGATAAGTCCATGTTTTCTCCTCTGCCACACCAACAGCAATGCTCAGAGAGGGAAGCCTTCATCAGCGGTGTCCCAGAATACCTATAAAGAACAGAACCTCCTCACCAAGCTACATCATTCATGTAGTGAGAGGAAGAAGCAAACCTTTGTGATGCTAAGTCCCTGGAATCAAGGGGTTCATGTGTTCTTCACATATAACCTAGCCTGCTTTCACTCCTGCCTCATCAAACTACCCCATCAGACAAAATGCTCTTCTCTCCATCCTCTCTTGCCCAAGTGATACTATTCTTCTTTCAACTTAATCATCACTTCTTCAGGGAAGCCTCTGCTGATGTCCCTGGCTAGATCCAGTCCCCTACTTATATGCTGTCATGACACCTATATTTTTCCCTTATAGTACACATCAGTGTTATTTATTTGTTGGTTATTTGATTAATGTCCATCTCCTCTTCTAGCCATGGGCTCCATGAGATCAGGGACACCATGCGTATTTTAGTTCACCATTAAAACCCAGTCTAGAACAGCGGAAAGTAAGAAATGAATAAACACTTGTGAACTGAGACAGTGTTGCTCATTTTTTGTTTCTGCCATGTCTAACACAGTGCTTGGTGAAACACTTGGTTTTTCACATGAATTAATTAATCAATATGGCATTATCATACATGACTGATATAGGAATAAATGTCGTATCTCTATTTAATTGTTTCAGGATGGGGTCCACATTTTTATCCTTGATACCACTGCTACCACCACCACCCCAAGAACAAAGAGACAGCATCAATAACACCGACACAGCATCACCAGAGAAACTGCTGGGAACCCTCCGAGAATGTTAAGACAACTTTATGAACTATGAACAGGAGGTAGGTATTAATTTTTTCACATTCATCAAATTTAACAGCCTTTCTCATTTCTTCAAATACCTGAACAATTACTCCAGCTAACCCTGCCTGCTAAGAGGGAAAATGTATGTAAACCATGCATTGAAACACATATATATGTGTATGTGCACATATATGTATATGTGTATATGTGTGTGCATGCACATGTATCTTCCTTAAGACTAGAGTTGAGGGAAATAAGCAAGGAGATACACAAGTAAATATGGCACTTTCATTTAATACCCATATGTGCCAGTCATGACTCATAGCCATCAAAGCCAATGTCCACTCAGATGGGCACAAAACCAATCACACCTGTCCTTTGTCCCAAATCTACATTGTGAGGAAACATTTTATTTAAGCTAGCACACAATCTCAGCAACTGGCATCCCCATTCTTGCATGTTTTCAAGCAGAAACTTAGAAATCATCCCTGACACTTCTTCCTGTTGGTCTCTATGGCTAATCCATCAATAAGTCCTATCAATCTTTGCTCCGAAACATCTCTTGAATCCACTCTCTTCTATGCATTGCTACCATCAGCCTTGACTAGGCCACCTCCTCTCCAGCTTAGAATATTGCAATAACTTTTTTAACTAGTCTTCTCTTATTCACCCTGACCCCTATTCAATCCATTCTCCTCTCTGAGTGATCTCTTTCAAATTCAAATTTAATTCTCCCCTCCCTAACTCAGCTGCTTTTAGGATGAGATGAAACCTGTACTATGGCTCAGGAGACCCTACCACATACTGTACTAGGAGCCCTTCTCTTTCCAACCCGCTCTGGTCTTCTTGTTCTTTACATGCTTCCTGCTCCCTCCCATGAGATCTCTTGCCTGGAAACTCTTCCCTTGATCTTCACCCTAGCTCCTGTCCTACTCATTCTTCAGCTCTCAGCTCAGGCAATACTTTCCTCAAGAATCTTTTCTAGTCTCTTGCTCTAGACAAAAATCTCTAAAGCAGCTTATGGTGTTAGAAGTTTCAATCACAGTTTATCCTTGATGGGCGTAGGGACTTGAAGAAAACAAGAGGGGGCTTCTGGGTGCTGGTAAAATTCTGTTTCTTAATGTGAGTGAAAGCTACACAGGAGTGTTGAGTTTGTGCAAGTTTGCTGAGCTATACACCTATAATAAGAACAGTCTTCTTCTGTCTGTATATTTTACTTTTTTTGTTATTTATTTATTTATTTATTTATTTTGAGATGGAGTCTTGCTTTGTCACCCAGACTGGAGTGCAGTGGCGCGATCTTGGCTTACTGCAACCTCCGCCTCCCCAGTTCAAGTGATTCTCCTGCCTCAGCCTCCCGAGTAGTATAAAAGGCTTTTAAAAATACCGAGGGATGAATTCATGTCCTTTGCAGGGACATGGATGAAGCTGGAAACCATCATTCTCAGCAAACTAACACAAGAACAGAAAACCAAACACCACATGTTCTCACTCATAGGTGGGAGTTGAGCAACGAGAACACATGGACACAGGGAGGGGAACATCACACACTGGGGCCTGTCGGTTGGGCGGGGGGGCCCGAGGAGGGATAACATTAGGAGAAATACCTAATGTAGATGACGGGTTGATGGGTGCAGCAAACCACCATGGCACGTGTATACCTATGTAACAAACCTGCACATTCTGCACACGTATCCCAGAACTTAAAGTATAATAAACCTAAAAAAAAAATACCCAGAGCAGCCTGATCATAGTGCAATTCTCCTTTTACGTACTATGCATTTTCACAGCTGCAATTTTACGTTATTTGATTAACATCTGACACACCCCCATGAGAGCCTAAGCTCCACAGAAGCAGGCTGAGTTTCCCTGTCATTGACCCTACAATACCTGGCCTAGTTAAGTACTTAAAAAATAGTTGATGAGGTCAGGCGCAGTGGCTCACGCCTATAATCCCAGCACTTTGAGAGGCCGAGGCAGGTGGATCACAAGGTCAGGTATTCGATACCAGCCTGGCCAACACAGGGAAACCCTGTCTCTACTAAAAATACAAAAAATTAGCTGGGCATGGTGGCAGGCACCTGTAATTCCAGCTACTCGGGAGGCTGAGGCAGGAGAATCGCTTGAACCTGGGAGGCAGAGGATGCAGTGAGCCAAGATTGAGCCATTGCACTCCAACCCCGGGGACAGTGTGAGTCCATTTCAAAAAAAAAAAAAAATAGTTGATGATACAGCCAGGGAAACTATGAGGGGATGAAGCCCACAGAGACATAAAAGACTAGGTCAAACTGAATAGCACAGACTATCCGACAAACCTGCACGTTGTGCACATGTACCCTAAAACTTAAAGTATAATAATAATAAAATAAAATAAACACAAAGGAAAAAAAAGAAATCAGCCACCTTCTCTCCTGCTACGGGCATTCCACTTGTTCAGGGTTCTTTTCACTTCCAGTGCCCATCCTGGAGTAGTGCAGCAGAGCTTCCTGGTCCTTATCCTAAAAAGACCAAGCCCCATGATGCTCAAGAAGGCAAAAAAAAAATCAGTAAAAGGACCAAAGAAGGGAGAGTAGACAAGGAGTCCCAATAATAAGAACAGGAACAGCAAGAAGAGGCAGAGCAGGTAAAGAAGAAGAAAGGAGCTGCCACTGAGACAGCAATGAAGGAAGGAGCAAACAGACCCTGCCACCACCAACACAGACCAAGGGAGGTTAAGCCAAAGAGGAGGTTGCAACATGATACAAACAATATTTATTAATAGAGAAGGAAAAAGAAACAGCAGAACCCACAGAAAATAAGCATTTGTAGAAGAAAGTGTCAAGACTAAACAGCAACCAAACTGGCAAGGCCACTATTCCCAGAGGAAAACTCACATGAAACTCGTCAACTTTTTCCCAAACAGCAACCCTTATTTTCCACTCATATGGGCCCAACATTTTCAGATAATACATCCATGTGTTCAACAAATATTCACTAAGCACCTAATATATACCAGGCACTGGGCAAACTTGGGCTCACAAAGGATTTGCTGCCTACAGGAGAAAACAGAGCCCTCAACACAGGGCTGCCTTAAGAAAGGTCTAAAGCGACCCATACCCTTTGTTCACCCAAAGTTCACCAACACATTGTTGCAGTACTATTTATAGATCCCAGGAGATACCTCTGGGGGAGGAAAGAACTGATGAAACATACAGCACAGACAACACTAGGTAATAAAGTGTCAGACCAGAAACGTATAAAATGAATGGAAAACACAGACACACAAAAGACAGAACTAAACTAAAATGGAAGGAAAAAGAGTAAATAGAAAGG